>NC_000006.12:100828365-100979880 GCF_000001405.40 Homo sapiens
CGCGGTGGGGAGATACATTCCAAGACTTCCAGTGGGTGTCTGAAAACTGCAGAATATCAAACCCTATATATACTATTGTGTCCGGAATTGGTGGGTTCTTGGTCTCACTGACTTCGAGAATGAAGCCGCGGACCCTCGCAGTGAGTGTTATAGCTCTTAAGGTGGCGCATCTGGAGTTTGCTCCTTCTGATGTTCCGATGTGTTCGGAGTTTCTTCCTTCTGGTGGGTTTGTGGTCTCACTGGCTCAGGAGTGAAGCTGCGGATCTTCGCGGTGAGTGTTACAGCTCTTAAGGCGGTGCATCTGGAGTTGTTCGTTCCTCCCAGTGGGTTCGTGGTCTGGCTGGCTTCAGGAGTGAAGCTGCAGACCTTTGTGGTGAGTGTTACAGCTCATAAAGGCAGTGTGGACCCAAAGAGTGAGCAGCAGCAGGATTTATTGCAAAGAGCGAAAGAACAAAGCTTCCACAGTGTGGAAGCGGACCCAAGCAGGTTGCCACTGCTAGCTCCAGCAGCCTGCTTTTATTCTCTTATCTGGCCCCACCCACATCCTGCTGATTGGTCCATTTTACAGAGACCCGAGTGGTCTGTTTTGACAGGGTGCTGATTGGTGCGTTTACAATCCCTGAGCTAGACACAAAGGTTCTCCACGACTAGATTAGCTAGATACAGAGTGTCCACACAAAGGTTTTCCAAGTCCCCACCAGAGTAGCTAGATACAGAGTGTCGATTGGTGTATTTACAATCCCTTAGCTAGATATAAAGGTTCTCCAAGTCCCCACCAGACTCAGGAGCCCAACTGGATTCACCCAGTGGATCCCGCACCTGGGCTGCAGGTGGAGCTGCCTGCCAGACCCGCACCGTGCACCTGCACTCCTCAGCCCTTGGGTGGTCGATGGGACTGGGCACCGTGGAGCAGGGGGCGGCGCTCATGGAGGAGGCTCCGGCCGCACAGGAACCCATGGAGTGGCGGGGAGGCTCAGGCATGGCGGGCTGCAGGTCCTGAGCCCTGCCCCGTGGGAAGGCAGCTAAGACCTGGCCAGAAATTGAGCACAACAGCTGCTGGCCCAGGTGCTAAGCCCCTCATTGCCCAGGGCTGGCGGGGCTCGCCAGCCGTTCTGAGTGCGGGGCCCACCGAGCCCACGCTCACATGGAATTCGCACTGGCCCGCAAGCACCGCGTGCAGCCCTGGTTCCCGCTGGCGGCGCCTCTCCCTCCACACCTCCCCGCAAGCTGAGGGAGCCGGCTCCGGCCTTGGCCAGCCCAGAAAGGGGCTCCCACAGTGCAGCAGCGGGCTGAAGGGCTCCTCAAGTGCCGCCAAAGTGGGAGCCCAGGCAGAGGAGGTGCCAAGAGCGAGCGAGGGCTGTGAGGAATGCCAGCATGCTGTCACCTCTATGTTTTTTCCTATATATACATGATAAAGTATAATTTATAAATTAGCCACAGTAAGAGATCAACAACAATAATAAAATAGAATAATTATAATAATATGGCAGCACCACTACTCTTGGCTTTGGGGGGCATTATTAAGTAGAATAAGGGTTACTGAACACAGTCACTGTGATACTGCAACAGTCGATCTGATAACCAAGAAGAAATCAGCTAATATGATAATCAAGGAGGCTACTAAGTGTCTACAACCAGATGATTCACGTCCCAGGCAGGACAGAGCAAGATGGTACAAGACTACCCACAACGGCATGTAATTTAAAAACCTTGTTGTTTATTTCTGGAACTTATAATTTAATATTTTCGGAATGTGGCTGACTGTCAGTAGCTGAAACCACAGAAAGCAAAACTTGGATAAGAGGGGACTACCACATATTATTTTCAAGTAGGAGACGGCATTTAGAGCAAAGCTAGTTAAGAAAAGGAATAGCAACTTATAGACAAAAAAACTAAAATTTTAACTGAGTATCTGAATGACCAGACACAAAATGTAGCAAATGGGAAAGGTATTTCTTTTCAAGTAAGCTCATTTGTTGTATATCAAGAAGAAATGAACATTTATCACAGAAAGCAATACCTAAAACCCACTACATAGATATAACATTTGTATGAGATATATTACATTTCATGGTAGACAATCAGTATATAAGCAATACTGTTTACTCTCTTTCCTTATGAATATGGACAATAAAAGAAAAATCACAGCATTTCTATGTGTAGGTACCACCTGTACCTCTTTGTGTTGCCTTGTGGGAATTGGGGCTCCTGGAACAGATACAAATGCTGATATTTAGGCTACTGCTATTGCTGCAAGTAATAAACTGTCCTTTGTCTTTGTAAAAAAACAAAAACGAAAACATAGCATTTATCAAGGAATCAATCTTTCTACTTAAGGGATTGCAAGACAACTTGCTTCACAGAAATTCAATTCACAAGAAGATTATATCACAAAGCACTGTTTCTGGGCATCAGGTGATATGTAAAATGCATAAGCAACTAAGTTATGGGAACCTATACTCATATAAAACTAAAAACGGGGTTAAAGTTATCAAAGTAAAGCAAAATATAAATAAGACTAATATAAGTAAGTATGATTTCTTGGTTTTGTTTTCCTCAGATTCATCAAAATACTTATAAAGGCTACAGTTAAGTTATTCTTATTAAAACCAACATAACATCATGATTAATTTTCTTTTACCTTGATCAAACTAGTTTTCAATTTTAACCCTAAGTAGAAAGGGTTTAGTTATTCTTCTGTTTTCAAGTTTTAGAATATTTATAAAAGACTAAAACAGTTTATCACAACAAAAATGTGATCTTATAAACAATCATTTCTCTTTAAATAAAAACAATAAAATATATTTTACTTTTAAATTTCTTCTAAAAATTATCTTGAAAAACCCTTTCCCTTTTATGCTTGAGAGAAAAAGGAGGATGCCTGCTGAGAGAACTGGTATTATCAATTAAAATGATAAAGATGGCACAAAATTCATACTTTAATGCAACTCTTCTGGTTAAAAAAAAAAAGGAAAAAAAACAAACAAAAAGGTACACTTGAACTTAAAAATAAGACTAATATCTCCCTCAACCAGAAATTCAACAAAATAGGCAAAGCAATGAACACAGCTAAAAGTTGCAGTAGGCTCAGCTCCACTTCTGGACAGCTAGGCCAGTAGTTTGGCTCCTGCTGGGTAACCTAGATAAAAATTGATCCATGCAAATGGGAACTAGAGCTAATCTTAATGGAAGCCAGGGATTAGGCATGGAGCTTCTGCGTTCATGAAAAAAAAGTTGAACTACCATCAAAATGATTCCTGGGGCCACAGCTACTATAGAAATTTAGGGCATGGAGTAAGGAGGAATGTGAAGGGGGAAGCTTCAAATTAAGATCAGTCTAAAAATTAAAATTCTGAACCATAAGAAATATTACACTAAAACTGGCAGTCAACAAAATCATCAATGAAACATAAGAAAATAATATGAAACAATATGACAAAGACTTTGAAATAAGTATTATAAAGCTGAAAAGATAAAGCAGTTGCTTTATTAAAAAAGGAATTTATAAAACAAAACAAAAAAGTTAAAGAAGAACTGGTGGATATAAAAAGAAACATGCAGAAATCAAGAAATAAAAAATAATCACTAAAAATTCCTCAGATAATTCTGTGGAAATAGTACAAAGAATTCACCTCGAATGCAAGACAGAAGTAAATAGATTTTAAAAAAATTTTAAAGTATTGAAGAGATGGAAGATATAGAGTGAGAGGTTCCAATATATCTCTGATAGGATTTTTGAAAGACGAAGACTAGAAAGAATGACAGAAAGGCATTATTTTAAAAGATTATAGCCTGGAATGTTCTAGGATTATAGAAATGATTATAGAAATACATGAATATTCAGAAAGAACGCTTATAAAGGAATAACAAAAAGACTGCAAGTCTTTCAGCAACCGCAAATGATGCTGGAAGGAAGTGGGGTGATACATTTAAGTGCTGAGAGAAAGATAATCTTCCTAGAATGTAATTGCCAACAAACTATTATTATTCTTATTATTCAAGAATGAGAAAAAAATTTAAACACTTTAAGATATACAAAGACTAAAAACTTAGCACCCATTGAACCTCTCTAAAAGAATTCTTAATGAAGTACTGTAGTAAGAAGAAAAATGAATCTAAAGGAAAATCATGAATATAAGAAAGGAAGAGCACACTTATAAAACATGCCAGTAAATTTAATTATACACTCAAATGAATAAATCATTTTTAACTTAAAAGAAAGAAAGCTCTCAAAAATAGTAAGATGGACAAAAGGAAGGTATTCAGTGGTTGGAAGAAGCATTCATAGCTACCCATTCATGTTTAAAACAAATTTAAGAGTATGCACCAGACGTAAAATTCAATCTATTAGCTCCTAAACCAGAAAGAGAATAAAAGGGAATATAAAAATATTATCAATCCCACAGACAATATAAAAGGGTAGGGGAAGAATGATAAACCCAAAAGCTTAGAAACTAAAAGATGTTCATCTAGTTTATGGATTACAATTAAACAATAAAAACTACACAGCAAATGAAATACAGTTAAAGCACCACTTAGAAATTTTGAAGAGTGGAAATGAGAAAAGTGTTCACAAATAAATACAGCTGAGCTATACTAGAAAAACAAAGAAGGAAATAAAATATAAAGCTTAATTAATGAAATTAAAAATCTTATTTTTAATTGCCAAAACTTAGAAGCAACCAACATATCCTTCAATAGGTGAATGAATAAACAAATTGTACTATATCTGTATAATGGAGTATTTTATTCAATGCTAAAAAAACACACAACTGTCAAGCCATGAAAATACATGGAGGAATCTTAAATGCGTAATGCTAAGAAAAGAAACCAATCTGAAAAGGCAACATACTATATGATTTCAACTATATGACATCTGGAAAAAGAAAAATATGGTAAGAGTAAAAAGATCTGTGGTTCCCAAGGCTACAGGGGAAGGGAGGAATGAAATGGTACAGCACAAAGGACTTTTTAGGGTGGTAAAACTATTCTGTATAATACTGTGATGGTAGATACATACCAGTATACATTTGTCAAGGCCCATACAATGTATAATACCAAGAGTGAATCCTTCTGTAATCTTACGGTAAACTATGGACTTCAACTAATAATAATGTGTAAATATTGGCTTATCAATCATAACAAATGTACTACCCTAATACAAGATGTTAGGAGAAAATAAGGGGAGTAGATATACAAGAACTCTATACGTTTCACTTATTTTTTCTGTAAATGTAAAACTGCTCCAAAAATTAGTTTATTAATTAAATACAAAATATGGTATAAAATTCAAGAAAAAAATAATTGTAAAGCTATTATCGATGAAAATGATTATTCCCTTAATGCTGGTAAATGTTTGTAAAACTGAAGGATGTGTCATTCAGAGTGAAGGGCCGCAGTGAAAGGTGGCAGGACGCGCGCTTTTAAAGGCTGAAATCCTGGCGGCTCATGCCTGTCATCCCAGCACTTTGGTAGACCCAGGAGGGTGGATCACTTGAGGTCAGGAGTTTGAGACCAGCATGGCCAACATGTCAAAACCCCATCTTTACTAAAAATACAAAAATTAGCCAGGCGTGGTGGTGCGTGCCTGTAATCCCAGTTACTTAAGGAGAATCGCTGGAACCCGGGAGGCAGAAGTTGCAGTGAGCCGAGACAGCACCACTACACCCCAGCCTGGGTGACAGTGTGAGTGAGTGTGGTTTAAACAAAAATTATCTAGCTAAATGTCTTATATATAAAAGATGCTTATCAAATCTTTGTGGAAAAAATGAATAAGTAATAAAAGGAGGGAATCAGTGACTAATACAAGGTTGTTTTCTATGAGATTTGTCATTAGGTCGTAAAATATAAATCTCTTTTGGAATTTCACATTAGAATTTATTTTATTTTTCACATACAATAAAAATGCTTAGAATATTTCAAATGTTAGCACAATTACTATTGATAGCATAAGGAAACAAGTATTTGTAAACAGTCTAACATTTTTAAAGAAGAAACCCACTGTCATTGTGAAAGAAGTATATTTGTCATCACTGGGTTTAATTAGAAGACCTTTAGGCTTATCCCAACCTCTTCAGTATTTAAAAACTGGAAAACTGTCAGATGTCTTATTATAAGGAACACATGCTGTATGATTAAATCCCAAAACATATGTGGGAAAAATAAAAATAACGAAAAGAGCAACAAAACAAAAGCTGCTTTTCTGAAAACAAGGCAAACACAATGCTAGCAAAAAGGAGATAAGCATAGAAGAGACAGATATAAGAAAGAGGCAATATAACTAAAAGCTAGCATAATTTTTTTAAAATAAGAGCACATTACAAACAACTTTATAGCAAAAAGCTAAGTACTCAGAAGAAATGGCTAATTTCAAAAATATATAATTATCAAACAACTTAGCAATAGAAAGTCTGAATAAACAAACAACTACTGGAAAATTCAAATTGGTAATTGAAGTTGGTCCTCCAAAAGAGATCGGGCTGTATTATTTCAGAGGCATACTAGTATTAAACTTTCATGGATAGATAACTGTTTTCTGACAGAAACTTTTGAAAACAGAAGAGAAAGCTCCAGAAGTTTATTTTATGAAACTGGAATAATGTTAACTATTAACACAGAATAATTTCCAAATTCTCGAATCTGGCTGAGTTTCTAGGCATAGTATAAGCATCTAAAAACCATATAATGCATCAGTGCCTACCCAATAAGCCTTCGAGGAAAAAAAAAAAAAGACACATTCTGATTCTTACCAATTGAAGAAAACCCATACATTTCCTCTTTAATTACACAGAACATGCATTTCAAAAATTAGAGTTATTCTCAGAAATAGTTTGCAAATATTTTCTCCCATTCCTTAGGCTGTATTTTCATTCTGTTTATTGTTCCCTTTGTTGTACAGATGCTTTTTAGATTGATGTAATACAATTTGTCTATTTTTGCTTTTATTGCTTATGATTTGGGGGTCTTATCCAAAAAAACCCTTACACAGATCAATGTCAAGAAGCATTTCTCTTATGTTGTTGTCTAGTAGACTTATCATTTCAGATATCAGTTAAGTCATTACACTATTTTGAGTTGATTTTTGTACATTGTGATAAAGGTCTAGTTTCAATCTTCTGCACATGAATATCCAGCTTTTCCAGCTCCATTTATTGAAGACACTGTCCTTTATCCATTGTGTCTTCTTGGGACATTTGTCAAAAATCAGTTGGCTATAAGCCCATGGATTTATTTCTGCATTCTCTATTCTGTTCTATTGGTCTCTGTGTCTATTTTTATGCCAGTACCATGCTCTTTTGATTATTAGAGTTCTGAAGTATATTTTGAGGTCTGGTAGTGTGATGCCTCAAGATTACTTTGGCTATCCAGGGTCTTCTGTGATTCCATACAAATTTTAGGATTGTTTTTTCTATTTCTGTAAAGAATGTTACGGGTATTTTGACAGGGATTGAACTGCCTATAGATCACTTTAGGAGTATACACATGTAATCAACATTAATTCTTCCAATTCACCAGTACAAAATATCTTTCCATTTATCTGCATCTTCTTCAATTTATTTCATCAATGTTTTATATGTTTTCAATGTAGAGATCTTTCCCATCCCTGATTAAATCTATTCTCAGGTATTCTGTGTATGTGTAGCTATTTTAAATGGAATTGTTTTCTTGATTTGTTTTTCAGATAGTTTGCTTTTAATGCATTAATATACAAATGATACTGATTTTTGTATGTTGATTTTATATCCTGGAACTTTACTAAATTTTATTCTAACAGTTTTTTAAGAGTCTTTAGGGTTTCCTATACATAAGATTGGATCATGTTGTCTGCAAACGGGGACAATTTAACTCCTTCCTTCCCACATTGGATGTCTTTTACTTCTTTCTCTTGCCTACCTGCTCTGGCTAGGACTTCAAGTACTATGTTGAATAGAAGTGGCAAAAGTGGGCATCCTCATCTTATTCCAGATCTTAAAAGTTTTCAACTTTTCCCTATTCAATATCATGTTAGCTATAGGTTTGTCATATATTAGCTATGTTATGTTGAGGTACATTCCTTCTAATTTGTTGAGGGGTTTTAATCATGAAGTGGTGTTGAATTTTGCCAAGTGATTTTTCTGCATCTACTGAAATGATCAGGAAGTTTTTGTCCTTCATTCTATTCATGTGATATATTATGTTTATTTATTTGCATATTTTGTACCATCCTTGCATCCCTGGGATGAATCCCTCTTGGTCATGGTGAATGATCCCTTTAATGTGCTTTTGAATTTGGATTGCTAGTACTTTGTTGAGAATGTTTTACATCTATGTTTATCAGCAATACTGGCCTATAGTTTTCTTTTCTCGTTGTGTCCTTATCTGGTTTTGGTATCAGGATAGTGCTTAGCCTGTAGCATGACTTTGGAAGTATCCACTCCTCTTCAAGTTTTTGGAATAATTTGAGTAGAACTATTACAAGGCCTTTATTGGCAGAATTCAGAAGTAAAGGCTATCAGATCCTGGAATTTTCTTTGATGGGAGACTTTTTATTACTGATTTCATCTCATTACTTGTTACTGGTCTGTTCAGATTTTCTGGTTCTTCATGATTCAATTTTGGTAGGGTTTACGTGTTTAGGAAGGCTAATATCCAGAATAATAAGGAAATTAAACAACTCGATTGCAAAATAATCTGACAAATAATCCATCAAAAATGAGCAAAAAATCTGAATAGACATTTCTGAAAACATACAAAAGGCCAACAGGTATAGGAAAAAAATGCTCAATATCACTAATCATCAGGGAAATGCAAATCAAAATGACAATGAGGTACCATTTCACTCCAATTAGAATTGCTGTTACCAAAAAGACAAAAAACAAACGAACAAAAAACAACTGTTGGTGCAGATGTGAAGAAAAGGGACCTCTTATACACTGTCAGTAGAAATGTAAATTAGTACAACCATTATGAAAAACAGTATGAAGGTTTCTCAAAAAATTAAAAATACAACTATCATATGATCCAGCAATCCCACTACTGGGTATATATCCACAGGAAAACAAATCAGTATGATGAAGAGATACCTGCACTCCCATATTTACTGCAGTACTATTCACAACAGCCAAGATATGAATCAACCTAAGCATCCATCAACAGATGAATAGATAAATATATAGTATATACACAATGGAATACTATTCAGCTGTAAAAAGGAATGGAATCCTGTCTCTTGCAACAACATGGATGAACCTGGAGGACATTATGTTAAGTAAAATAAGCCGGGCACAGTAAGACAAATACTGTTTGATCTCACTCACATGTGGAATCTAAAAAAGCTGATCTCATAGAAGGAGAGAGTACAATAGTGATTACCAGAGGCTGGGGAGATTGGGGGTGGAGGGAGAACAAGGAGAGTTTGGCCAATGGGTACGAAGTTACAGTTAGAGAGGAGGAATAAGTTATGGCCTATCTAGTGCACAGTAGGATGACTAGGGCTAACAATATTGTGTTGGGTATTTCAAAAAAGCTGGAAAAGAGGATTTTTAATGTAAAAAAGGAATGATAAATGTATGAGGTCATGGTTATGCTAAACACTCTGATTTGATTTTTAAACAATGTATACATGTATTGAAACATCACACTAGACCCCATAAAGAGGCATAATTATGTGTCCATTAAAAACAAAATTTAAAAAAATTTTAAAACATGGTAAATAGTATGACCAAAAAAGTTTTTAAAAATTAAAGTTGTTCTATACATTAAAGTAATAAACAGCATACATTATAAATTACAGTAAGCATACTATGCAAAGAAAAACTATGCAATTTAGGAAATGTCTTTCTTTGAGATATGATGCAATTTTAGATTTGCATGTGAAATTTTAAAATATGCATATTGAAAACTAATAATATGAAGTATAATAAGAGAAGAAAATGTTAAAACCTGAAAACAGTTTTGAATTGACAGTTCATATGGATCTGAATATGGATAATTATAAATAGCAGATAATGTTATTTAAAACTTTATAAATTATTCTTACTCTGAATTGTGGCATAGAAAATTATTAAGTATTCATACATTATAAAATAAGGTCATAAATAACATAAGAAAATGACCATGAAAATTATGACAGCATTTATTTATCTCTTAAGAAGAATTTCTATGCAAATTGTGGCTGTTTGCAGAGAATTAGATAAATTATATTTACAGAATAACTAATGCTCATTATTTACAGGTACTTAATCTACACAACAATTTACAAAGCTAAAACCAAGGTCACTTACAACTTAATTAAGACAACTTGGAATGTGAACACTATTTATTCCCCACATACTATAATTAGCTGCATAGTAAATAAGTCAAAGCTAGGTACCACTACATATTTAAAAGCTTACTTTACATTTTCATGTATATGGCAAATTGACAGCTTCCTTGATTCTTAGAAGGATATTCTGATATTAATTGTCTCAGAAGACAAATTTCAACCATTATGTGTGTATGTATGTATGTGCTCATGCATGCATACACATATATATATAACTTAAAATTTATGTATTAAATCTTAAATATTTGAGTGAATGCTTACAGCAATTTCTAAATCTAATAACCATACTTATTTATGTTTACAAACTGATATTATCCAAAATGTTTTTATTTATCTCAAATACGATTAACAGAAACATATCTTTGTTTTACTAATAAAATGCATTTATCTTATTTCTTCCCCATATCAATATATTACATGTAACTCTCCATACATCTAATCCAAGTATCCATGTGCTCTTCCAAATCATTCCTAACAACATTCATTATATCACATACAATTTTCCAGCATTCCCTTCTTAAATGTATGTATGAAAGATCCAAAAGGAGAGACTTAAGAAAGCAAGATAATGGGAGGAGGTTGATTAAACTTTGTTAGATACCTTTTATGTCCCCAAACTTAAAAGTACTTGGCACAGAGTACAGAATTAATGACTGAATAAATGAATGAGTGAACAGTATCAAACAGAGTAGTATGAAATTTGTCAAACTTGTCTTACTCCTTGAGCAACCATTCCAATCAAGAGCAAATTAGTTCAAAATCTGTTATTGCCATAAATTGGAAACATATATTTAAGCTCCTCATTGTGAGCTTAATATATTAATAATGCTTTTTTACCCACATCTATAACAAGACAATATATGGCCTCAAAAATGCTTCAGGTTGACAGGTATCTTAAAAGTCATAAAAATCAGACTTTCCACAAATCACAACAAAAGTGATGATTCAGCATGTTCTTCTAAATCTTCAATAACAAGTCTCACTACTTGCCAAAAGAGGTTGGTATATTTAAAGGACTTTGAAAATTGAAAAGGTTTGACTGAGCTGAGATCTGTCCTTACATATTTTTTACCCAGAAATCCTAGTTATAACCCTTGGACCACCCTTCTTCCATATACAGCTCTTCGAGTATTATGCTCATCTCTCTATCTCACTGGAGCTTTCTCTTTAAAAGGACTACCAACTGCAGTTTTTTCTTAAGTGGGAAAAAAGCAACATACAACCAAGATCAATAAAATATATGGCTTGGGTTTTCCTAATACAGATTATAAAACTTCAAAGATCTGTAATAGCAGATAAATTACTTCAACTATGTTGATCTTTCCTAAACATCACAGTCAGCTAAAAGTAGAACACAGGATTCTTGAGTTTTCCTCATGAAAATTTTATCCCTTTTAAAGTAAAAATAGTAATGAATAACCTAAAATAGCAGACAATGTGGAAGTGAAAAGAAACTTGGGAGAAAATGGGCATATCACTTTAGAGTATACAGTATGAACATATTCAGATATATACCCACAAATTAAAGACAGACAAAAGATACATCTGATCCAAATAACTCTCCACCCAAAACCAGTGAGTACTTTTGTATGCAAAATTTTTAGTGATAGGAGTACATTCAAAAAGTTTATATACACCTGAGTAAATATTTAGCATAAGAGTCTTTTTGTTTTTGTTTTTGACAGGCGCTCACTCTGTCACCAGCCTGGAGGGCAGTGGCATGGTCATGACTCACTAAAGCCTCAACCTCCCAGGCTCAAGCAATCCTCCCACCTCAGCCTCCCAAGTAGCTGGGACTATAGGCACATGCCACGCCAGGCTTTTTTTTTTTTTTTTTTTTTGGCGTAAGAGTCTTTATTGCAATGTTATTTTAGCGTAAGAGTCTTTATTGCAATGTTATTTATAACAGTAAAAAACTAGATAAAACTTGAATCTTCAATAGCAAATAATAATACTACTCTGCAACCATTAAAAATTATTACATTATAGATTATTCTCATTGAAAATGTTAAGGAACATAAAAGCAGGTTCAAAATTATATATCCTGTGTGACCTAGTTTTTAAGTGTTTTTATTTTAAAAGATATATACTCCAAAATATTTGCAGTGATTATGACTGAATAATGGTGGGTTCACAGATGATATAGTTCCTGCATTCTGCTTATACAAGACCTAAATTTTCTAAAATTATGGATATATTTTTCAAAATTAGAAAACGAGTTGTATAAAGAATGGGTGGCAATAAAAATTGAAATTTCCATCACTATACTGAAAAAAAAAGAGAAAAAATTGATTGGTATCTAATAAAATACTGTGGCTTCATTAGTAGCCATAAACTGAGAAAACTAGAGGGACATAAGAGAAAAAATGGTGGCAAAATCACAATAAGAAACAAATCAAAAAATGTTCTTTCCTTCGGAAAGATAAAAGAGTCATTCTCTTACTAATCCTTTTGCTTGCATCTTCTCCTACAGAGAATATTAGCTTAAAACAGAAAAGAGCGGAACAAAACCCATAAATATTGAATGCTAGCTACAGCAAAGGAGATAGTAGTAAGGAACATCCTAGCCCTTCAAATGAGTTCAGGTATGCAGACCCTGACAGAGCATATCATGAGGTTCAAGAACCACTTATACATTTGATCTCAGAATCACTGCTATCTCTTGAGAAATATTTTTTTAAAAAATAGTAAGTGTCAGATGAAGGCAAAAGTCCCCAATTTGAAAAAAGAAAAGATAAAAGTCATGGATTGTGAAAACTACTTAATTGTAAGCTTAACATCAACAAATGGCAATGTGAATTTACAAAAAAAAGTCATGACAAAATAATCTTAATTCTTATGAGATTATTAGGTTAGCAGTTCCTAAATTGGCAAAGCAACTGGAAGTGTGACATCTTTGAAGATGATGGGGAAAAGCATTCTACATGTCAGTACTATTAGAACACTAAACAGCTGTATCCAAATTGTGTTGATAATGGATTAATGTCAACATAAAAGAAAACTGAAGTTGTGCATATTAAAAAAAAAAAGACTAAGGAATGAAAAACATAACCCATCATATGTCTAAAAGACAGTCATATAGGAGTTGATGCCTATGACTTTGTTGCCCCATTGCACACATATAGGACTGAATGGCAGTAGGAGTATTATCAGTTAGCAAAAGAAATAATTTACAAGATAACTACTCCAGAAAGAGATGGTATACCATTTGAATAAAAGAAGCTCTTCATTAGAATAAGTATACCTCATTACATGAGGATCACCATTTCCATAGAATTCTAAACACACAAATACCACACTGGATGGAGAAATTCCATGATTCTAAACATTCTTGTAAAGGATAATTTTCAATTCAGGCAGCAGGGTAGAGGCTCTTCTGATTATTTGATGAAAAGACAACAAAAAACCAATACATATTGGTCCTCATAGCTGAAAGGACACTTTTAATTCCAATCTGGCTGATATGATATCATAGCTCAGCAGTATTAAGGCTACCAAAAACAATGTACAGCACCTAATGAATGGAGAACTTTTTCATAAAGCACTAATGTGAATCTTTCAGTACAGCAACATTTTAAATACCCTATTCTAGTTACAAAAAAAACTACTACAACCTCTTTATCAAATTGTAATACACACATTAAATGAGAGGTTCTCAAAGTGTGAGCCAGAATCTCTAAGATCCTTTCAGAAGATATATGAGGTGAAAATTGTTTTCATAATCATACTAAAACATTATTTAACTTTTTCATTCTCATGTTCTCATGAGTGTAATGTAGTGGACTTTTGCAGAGGCTACATAATGTAATGTGTGATATCAGAATATACTGAATGCAAAAGTATATATGGGAATCTAGCTGTCTTCTATTAAGCCAAACATTGAAATGATTTATAAAAATATGATATAATGCCACTCTTCATACTTTTTTTCTGATTTTCGAAAATAGTTATTTTTCATAAAAATGTTATTTATACTATAGTAATATGATAGATTTAGTATTATTATTTTAAATGATTTGGGGCTGGGTGCAGTGGCTCATGCCTGCAATCCCTGCACTTCAGGAGGCCGTGGTGAGAGGATCACTTGAGGCCAGGAATTCATGACCAGTCAGGACAACATCACAGAACCCTGTCTCTACAAAACATTCTTTAAAAAATTAGTTGTGTGTGGTGAGGCATCCTTGTAGTCCTAGCTACTAGGGAGTCTGAGGCAAGAGGATTGCTTGAGCCCAGGAGTTACAGGTTATAGTAAACTATGATCATGCCACTACACTCCAGCCTGGGTGACAGAATGAGACTCTGTCTCTGAAAGAATAATAAGAAAGACTAAAAAACAAATGATTTAATAGACATTTATTAAATTAATATAGTAAAAATTCAATTTTAATTTCAAATATGACAAATATCAATAGAGTTCAATAACATAAAGAAAAATTATGAGGTTCTGAGTAATTTTTAAAAGTGCAAAAGAGTTTTGAGAACAAAAAACGAGAATCACTGTATTAAAGCAAGCTAATTATTCTCCACCAAATTTTCAAAGGATGATAGAATCATTTCCAATGCAAATAAGTTCCAAAAAATACACAGTCTTCCCTCAGAAGACAATCTAACCAAATAACTCACACTGCTTGACATCAGACACATATCTGGAGGTTCAGAAATGAACTTGCATGGGTCAAGTAACGCCATCTGCATAGAGTCAAGAGATAATACTAACGGCAAATGTCAAATCACAAATGCTATAAAGAAGCAGCCCATCTGCACAAAAGCAAACTACGGTTGTATCAATAAAACTCAAAACTCTCTTTTTCTAAAAACTGATTATACAATAACTCTATCAGTATCTACATCAGCATTAATAGCTTTGCAAATAGCATGTAATATTGAAATAATACTGAGATATGTATACTTCAATACATCTCCAATATGCTAGCCTTTCAGATCCCACTTTACATATTTCTCAAGTGTGTTTTTATTAACATCTTTTCCATCTTAACAAGAACTATTAATATCAGAACTCACTTCAAAAACTTAATCCAAAAGATTTTCTTTAGGGTAGTCAGACATTAAAAAGCCAGGCAGGAAAAAAATAAAAATAACTAAATAAGTCCCTGAATTAAGACCTCGCTTTTAAATATCATTTTATTGTTTGAAACATCCATAGCTAAGAAGGCATAGATAAAAATTTATTTACTGACATATAAGGTATACACCTAAATAAAAGTTTGACTGTGCAACTATATGGTGCAAACACTTGAGAACCTGGTCTGTGAAACATTATGTCTCATATATATTATCTCACAAATCCTCACAGCAACACTGTGAAGCAAATATTTCACAAATTAGAGAAATGGGGTTCACAAGAGCTTAGTAATTTGCCCATAGTCGATAAGACATTAGCAAACAGAGACAAAATTTGGCCTGGCTTTATAAGAAAAGAAATTCCTTCAAAGAGCCTTGCCAGTTAATGTTCTTTTCTTCAAAAAATCTGATGGCATACTAGATAGGAATAGTAGATCTACACTGAGAAAAAAAGTCCCAGAATTTCTACCACTCTTTTGCTTTGTGACTTTAGTAAACAACTGAGCCTCAGTTTTTTTAACCTTTATAAAGAGGATATCACTCCTACACATTGCAGGACTGTGAAGAAGCTGGTTAGGTCAGAGAAGAAAGCCTGGTTCGGGTCCATACATAACAGGCACTTAAAACCTGGTAGCTTTACTGTTGTTAATACTACTACTTTCTAGGGGAAAATTTTCTGTTGAAAGTCCATTAGTTATACCATTCCAGTAGAACGAACCCTACTGCTACAATTCTGGTTCTGAAACACCCGCAGCAGGAAGACAATCTGTACCAATAATGGACAGGTTTTGATTAAGAAAATAACATGGAATATTCAAGTCTTATTCACTTCCGGGTGTTAAAATGCACTTCTAAAAGTGAATAAAATTCAAGAACATAAAGAACCTTAAAGATTTCTAGCCAATCAAATTCTAAGGCTTAATCATAATGCCTACAGTCTTACCTGGAAAATTACAGAAGCCAAAAGAAGAAATGCTCTTAGAAGAAAGTAACATAGAGGCTCAAGGTAGGGAGGGAAAAGGGGATGATATTGGCAAAAGCTAAGAAGTGGGTTGTTTTATTAGTACAACACGCAGGAGGACACAGATGTACTTTCTATGTAATGAATTCCCTGAGGAATAATTAAAACTCATCTTAAACAGGTCTAAAACAGGAGAACATAGATGTGCTTTCTATGTAATAAATTCCCTGAGGAATTATTAAAATTTATCTTTAACAGGATCTAAAAGTTTCATCCTTTTATTTCAGCCAATTCCTTATTTGAAACTCTAAAAGGAAAAGATCTTGTTTCTAAAGAAATTGTGAATTAAGAGTAGATGTCAATAATTCCCCTACATAAATTTAAGATGCTTAGCTTCAAAACACAGGAATATGTACAAATCTACTTAAACTTCAGTGCGCCTGTGTACTTTGTCAGAATGTCTGAATTTACATCCTGGATCCACTGTCTACTCTGTAACTCCAGACAAATTTCCCAACATCTCTAAACTCAATTTGCTAATCCATAAAATACCTGCCACCAGAGAGCAATAATCTATGGGACGGACAAAGCATTTACTTAAGGTACCAGCAAAGCAGACCAGGAAAGTTAGAAAAACTTCTCAAAACGGAACTTGATGTTTGAAAAAGACATCAACTTTGTCACCACAGTAATAAATGAAATTTTGTTAGATTTTCTTATGTTTGCTTTAGTATGCTATTTTTAAAAAAATTTTAATCACATATGGGAGAGGAGGAGAAATGCCTCAGAGTGTAACCTTTTCAGTTCTTAGGGCTTCTAACATCTTAATCCAGCACTGCCTATCTCAAAGCACTGCTATAAAGATTAAATGAAGTCATGCACATAAAGCACTTAACATAATGCCTTATGTCACATATTAATGTCAGTTATTATTATTACTATTGTCATTAGTCTTATTCCTCTCCACGTTTCAGTCAGAAATCTCTCTTACACAGTCTTTGTGGTAAATGTAATCATATGAATATACTTTTTATTCCCATGTTTCTAACACTAGTTTAACAATAACATAAAGGTCTTTTTAAAAAAGACTTTAATAGCTAGCCCTTAAAAATGGATTTATCATCAATTAGTCATTATGTCAATTAACTATTCAGAGCTGGGAAACCACAGGTTGAGAAGAATTTTTGCCATCAGCATAGAAGTAGCTTTATATGCTTTTCTTAGATTATATGTAAAAATATTCCCATGGTTCTGCTACATTTCTGGAGCAAGAGCACACAGCATGCTACATAAATATTCCTATTTAAATAAAGAGTCAAGTAAAAGCTTAAAAAGAAATAGAAATTAACTGTTATCATATGAACTGATGGCCTTTTTAATTATCCTCTTTCCAGGCTTAAGTATTTAGAAGTAAATAGACAACACATAAGGTATAGCACGCACACCCTAAAGTGAAAACAACACTGGTCAAGAACAACCGCAGTGAAACAACTGTAGGGAAACAATTGTAGAAAACTCCTGAAGTATCACTTGAAAATTATACTGAAAATTTGCCATAACAACAGAATATAACATATAACAGCAAAGAATTGTATCTAAAATATAAAGCATGAATAATCTATACTGCAGAACAAAAATTATGACAATGATTGTCCATTTTCATATACGAACAGGAAAACCAAAACACTGACTACATAAAACTATACAGAACTACCACTCAAGCCACTGACAGGATGTGAAATATCAACTTACATGTTAAACTATCCATTAACCCTGGTTGAAAAAAATCATTGAACCAGACTATGCAGACTTCAGTGTGGCTTGTCATACACCTTAACAAGGCGCTCAGCCCTCACCTCCTTTGGCTCTTACCTATCTGCATACCCTTGTTTCTCAGCACTCCACCTTTGCATCTTGCATGCTTGCTGTACAGAGCTACAGCTCTCTGAAAACAGTGTTCAAGCCTGAAATATGCTCCCTACCTTTCTGGTCCACTTGAAAGAGTTAAATCTAGTCATATTTTAAGAATTGGTTCAAGCTTAACCTTCTCTATGCATACTTTTGCTACCATACTAACACCTCTATAAAATCTATGACTTGTTCTTTTATGCACCCATTTTCTTTGCATGTAGTATTATAATACCTATGATATTTCAGTACAGTTACTTGTTGACATGTCTCCTCCTGCTAGACAATTAATTCTGAGAACAAGTTTGCTATCTTATTCATCCTTTTATGTTCAGTAAATAGCACTGTACCTAGCAATACAATAAGCATACAATAAATATATGACAAATGAAGCTATTATGAAAAAAATCTAGCACAAATACTCCCCTTCCAACAATCAGATTCAGTTACATACTTTAAAATTGTGGTGAAAGACTAAGAAATACAAACTTACTATAGATATTCAGAAGTGAAAGTAATGGTTTTATGGCTTACTAAGAAAATAAAATATCCATTAATTAGATATTTATAAATTTCAGTTTATTATAATCATAATTGGATAACTACTATGTATTCAATTATGATGAGCAAATATTAGTAAAATTTTCTTCGTAAATCACAATTTTTAAAACAATATTATGTTCAGAATGTTAGAGAAAATTTAATAGTGAGAACAGATCTGATAAAAATTAAACCAAGTGTAAAACATTCACAGTAAAAAGACTGATCACAGAATTAATGATATAATATCTTACTTCCAAACTAATGTTAGTTGGCATAACACCTATGGGTTAAGTCCTCCAATACCTACTTAGCTAATTCTCTAAATTAATTTTTCTCTGAAAAATACAGCTAGTATTTTTTCTGTATTTCCAATACTCAATGTGATTTAAAAATTCTTAATTCCAATAATAACGACAAAAATAATCACAGCTACCACATAATGATTATTTAACATGTTACTTACCATTTTGCATATATCACATTCAATCCTTATAACAATTATCTATCTTGATATTGGTGTCTCCTTGAGATAGCCCAACAAGAAAACTGAGCTTCTGAGAGATTAAGTTACCTAAAGTGTCACAACCAGTAAGTGGAAAGGGAAGAACAAACTGATTTCAAAGCCTGTCCTTTCTACAACAGTAGGCCATCCCTCTTAATCTTTCATGAAATATATTACTCATTCAATTTGTCCAGTATTAAAATTAAGTTGACATCAAACCAGCACTGTCCCAGTAACCAGAGCATGTGGACACCCAACTATTGTCTGCTTACTCCTCTGCTACACTCATTACACTTTCAGACCTCCTGTAACTATCCATTAGGAACGTATATACAGGCCTGCTATGTGAAACCATTTGGCTATAGATTCAACTACTATACAGAACATTAAAGAACTTTCTTTGCTAACCACCCATGTTTAAAAAACACTATTTCATTAGGATAGTTCACATTAATATAAAAAAATAAATCATTTCAACTATACCTCATCCTGAAGTTCATCACCACTTTTAATAGAAGCAAGCATATCATATAAAGTACAGCAAAGATCTTCTACTCTTGGCACTTCAGTCATTTCCTTCAAAGTTGAATTTAGGTACTTTTCAACTTCACACCACAAAAAGGAGCCATTTGTTTTTTCCACAGGCTTGAGTTCTGGGGTGCAAGCCTCCTGGAGATGTTCATTCAGAAACTTCTTATAATCTAGGCTTATAGTTTTCTGAGTTTCACCATTTATTGGCAGTTCGTCAAAGTGGTCCAAATCATGCATGTCAAATGAAAATGCTAAATTTTTACCAAAAAAAACCCTATCGCCATGTTCTTTTTCTGTCATCTGCACAAGAGCAGTAAGATCATCTTGACTAAAATGAGAAATAATTCGATTAGTAGCATTACAAGCTGCAGTGGCAGATGATGAAGGAAAGGGGCCAAACATCTGTTTGATAGCCTTTGTTTCCTTGTGACCAACAGAGTCCTTCAAGTGAAATGTCATGAAGAGAAATGCAGCCCCACTTTCAATTGCTTCTCTCCCATTATCAGTTCCAACTATTCAAAGACAAAAGAAACAGTATTAGCTCAATTGAATCATGGTTCAAGTTACGATCTTCCAAAAAATTACCACAAATATTCTCCTGAGTAAATCTAACAGTCAAATCATAGCAATAGACCAGGTGTAATGGCTCCATATAATCCCCACACTCTGGAAGGTCAAGGCAGGAAGATCACTTGAGTCTAGGAGTTCAAGACCAGCCTGGGCAATATGGTGAGAACCATCTCTACAAAAATTTTTAAAAATTAGCCAGGTATGGTGGTGTGCACCTGTAGTCCCAGCTACTCAGGAGGCTGAGGTGGAAGGATTGCTTGAGCCTGGAAGGTTGGGGCTGCAGCGAGCCATGATTGTGTCACTGTACTCAGCCTGGGCAACAGTGTGAGACCTTGTAAAAAAAACAACAAAAACATAACAATAAAGACAGATAGCCAATTTAAGGAGCAGGAACCAACCCATTCCTGAAGAACTATTTATTTCCCAAAGAACTATTTTAGGTAAATAAATCATTATCAGTAATTATTATGTATCTAAGTGCAGAAACTACCTAGTAACAATCCTTACAGCTTCTTTCTAAAAACAACTTGAGACACTAGCTAAAACTCACTTTAAAACTAATTTTAAAGATTGATTTGATGAGCTAGTTAAATAAACCAAAGTAAGGTACAGAAAACAATCTGAATTATAGACTTTTGGAGCTTCAAGGAAACCTCAAATATCTATAATTTTCTTTCCAATTTGTACCATAAACCTGAGATGGCAAGAAATACTTCTATAGTTCTCATTCAAAAACATTTAATACCATCAAGGATATTTATTAAGCTGAAGATAAAGTTAGTCATATTATAAAATAAAAAAGAAAGCTCCTGTTTAAAAGAGGCTAGAAGTAAATATAAGAAGAATCAGCCTCTAATTTATTTAAGGCATTTTCTCATATCCAATTTTCTCAAATAAAAAAAAGAATCTGTATTTCTGACATGGGTTTCAAAGAATATTCTTAGAGAAGAAAAGAAGAATTTAAATCTTCAAAAGGCCCCAAAAGCTATGTGACTTACCTAAATACTGTTAAAGTTAATAATGTAATGAATACTGGTATCTTTCTAAAAAACATGACTCTGCAGTTGCTCCCGCCTGTAATCCCAGCACTTTGGGAGGCCGAGGTGGGTGGATCACCTGAGGTCAGCAGTTCGAGAACAGCCTGGCCAACATGGTGAAATCCCGTCTTTACTAAAAATACAAAAATTAGCTGGGTGTGGTGCCACACACCTGTAATCCCAGCTACTCGAGAGGCTGAGGCAGGAGGACCGCTTGAACCTAGGAGGCGGAGGTTGCAGTGAGCAGAGATAGCATCGCTGTACTCCAGCCTGGGTGACAGAATTGAGACTCTATCAAAAAAAAAAAAAAAAAAAAAAGAAGGAAACATGACTCCAGTATCATTATTCACAAATCTTCCACAGCTTACTATAGCTTGATCCAAGCTCCTACACTGCCAGAAGCTGACCCCAGCATTTTATTTTCCAGTCTTATTGGCTATTATATATTTCCTGCTCCAGCCAAAAAGAATTTCTTCACCAAAAACCACGTTCTACCCCACTCTATGCCTATTTCTATATCATACTGATTCTTCTTCAAGGCCTCTGATTGTTCAAATCCTACCCATGTTTCAGAATATAGCTCAACTACCTCTTTCAAGATGAGTACAACGTTGAGTACATTGTACAAATACAATGGTATTGATGACAATACCACTGTAGTATTCCTCACTGTACTTAGCCCCAAATAGGTAGCTCCACAAAGATTAGTTGATTTAAACTAGACCCAGGCCTCACTGACACCAGATTAGTATTTTTATACTACATCAAACTGCCTGAGTCACTTTTTACTTTATCTGCTATTCAATCATGTGTAGAAGATTAACAGTTTATAGGTAGGAAAATAAGCAATTTTACAATGTATATTTCCAATTTGTTCAAGTATGAAGTCTACTTTTACTGTTATAATTTACACAATTATCTGACATACAATTATTCTTTTAGTATTTAAGAAAATATATGAAAATCTATAAATAGTGCTTTTAAATTAATTCAATAGCATTTATATACATTTATTTATTCATTCTATACATTTTACTTATAACTTGTAAAACAGGATTTGGATAATTTGGGGATTATGGTACTTCTACAGATAATTTAAAGGGGTTGATAGAACTGATACTAAAGTCTGAGCAAAAATGGAATTCACATTTACAAACATTATCTACCATTGTAAATACACATTTTTTGTAAAGATAGTATTGCTAACACTTTGCATCTTGGGATTTTTTTAAAAATAATAATTTACTAAAAACTTTCACATAATTATCTCACTTTGTCCTAACAAAAGTATCTCCATTTTATAGATGTTAAATGGAAACAGAATTTGAGTAATTAGGGAAAGATCAAACAGCTATTACATCATTAAACAAGATTAACATTAGTCTTCTAACTCCTAAACAAGTTATTTCCCCTATGTCACACTGATTCCCTGTAAATTCCTAGACAGTAGACTTATTTCTAATTCTTGTTTACAAAATAAATTTTAAAAATAAATAGGTCACCTTAAGAAATCAAATAGTGGAAGAACAGCCTTATTATCTAATGTAAAAGTGTAATTAACTTAAATATCCATTATTAGGTTACTGGTTGAATTCTGATATAGCCATATACATTCACTAAATATAGTGCAGCAGATTTATATATCTTGCCTTTAAAAAGTCCATTAATAGTGGGTAAAAAAGCTATAAGCCCATGTTTGAAGAGAAAATAATTGTAGACTCACAGAAACATCAACAAAGATCAACTTTTTTGGAGTGTCAAATTTTTAATAACCATTAACTTAAATCTATAATTTCAAAAATCACAAATACTTAAAAAAATTTAAACCTTGCTGGGTTGTGGTGTTTCATAAATGTTAATACTCTACCCTAATTACTAACTCTCCTGCACAACCTATGTGAAATGGACACGTGTTCATACCACAGAACAGTTTTTCAACAGAGAATCTCTATATGCCTTACGGTTCTGGGAGTTCCACCAGCCAACACTATTTGTTAACATGGATGACTACACAACAGAAATAATGACTACGGCATTCTGAAAACAATGAACTTTTTCAGGGCGCTAAAACATCAGATGGTAACTTCCACTTTCACCATCTTCCTGCAACCACCCCGGCTTGTCTTCCCTAAGGGGCAACCACCCCGGCTTGTCTTCCCTAAGAGGCACCGACATGCTTTCCAGCACACTGTCCGCATGAGATGACGTATGTAGGCGTAAGAGACTGGCTGTTAGCACGCTGCCCAGATGAGAGCCCTGATCAGATTGGAGCAGACGAAGGACCCCAGGTGCTGGGGCCGCAAAGGATGCACCACAGCTTGCTGGTACAGCCCACTCAGTGTTTTTTGGGTGACTAAAATGTATGAAAAGTTTGTAAAATGTAGACAAAGTATCTGAAGAAAACGATGCAGTCAGTTGTCTAATTAGCCAAAGCTATCCAAGGCCCAACTTACCCTCAACAAAAATGTAATTGGAAGGGAAACACTAAGCGAACCTCTATTAGCCGGCTGAACCACCACCCAATTGGCCACATCAGAAGGGGGAGATGGAACGGCTTTGGACAACGCGTGTGGTACACTTCTAAAGTAGAAAGGTGTTAGTCATGTTCTTGTTTTCTGACACTAAATCCAAAATTGAACATGTTACATTAACTGTGAGAATCCTGTTCCGAAATAGCCTTTTGTTCACTTCCCTTTATATTCTATATGTAATTTAATAATAAAAACGATTAGGTTTATGATCTTTGGTTAAGTTAACATTTGCACCCAATTCTTAAAGCTTTTTCTGTCTGCTTCATATCACTCACTGTGGTCACCTTTCAAAGAGGAATCAGGATTTTAAGTTTAGATTTGGCCACAGATAAATTGATACACTAATCAACTGACGAAAAGTTTATATAAGACTTGATATAAAACTTAAGAACTCCAAACTTTTAAAGAAGGTACTCTAGAAACCTACATACTTGGGTATCTAACTTTGTATCCATAAAACACTGAATAACATAAGCTGTAAACCGGAAAACTGGCTCTACCCACCTGGCACTTCAACTGTAATATATTTAAAAGGATGCACTTAGAAGGTCCCTACAATACTTTTATTAAGAAGAAATACTCACCCTACTTTGCAGTTATATTGAGAGGAAATGGGATGTGAAATGCATAGTAAACTATAAGGCACTTCCCAGAATTAAAAAAAAAAAAGTCAAAAGTGAAAGAGGCTTGCCAAAAATCACCATTAAGTAGCAGAGCATGATCAGAACTCAACTTGGCTGGCTGACTGGTGCGCTTTTATTATAAATAATTTTCAAACTTAAAAAACCTTATATAGAACCTTACCATATAAAATGATATATTTGGTAGATTGTTACTATAAGATTATAAAATAATTTTTTAAAATCAAAGAGTTAAATGGTTACAATTGTCAATCATCCTCAACACACAATCTACGTCTGTTTTCTTTTGATTCAAAATATTAAGAATTAAGTGGTTGTAAGTTGTCACTTTTTTCTGTAGCCTACTTTAATAGTTGAGGAATCCTGGAAAAAGGATGAGTAGAAAATTTTAATTAAAGATTGAATTAAAATATCAATCACTTGCATCCATAATTGATAAATATTCCTTTTTTTTTTTTTTTTTTTGAGACGGAGTCTTGCTCTGTCACCCAGGTTGGAGTGCAGTTTTGAGACGGAGTCTTGCTCTGTCACCCAGACTGGAGTGCAGTGGCACAATCTGGGCTCCCTGCAACCTTCGCCTCCTGGGCTCAAGTGATTCTCCAGTCTCAGCCTCCTGAGTAGCTGGGAGTACAGGCACACGCCACTATGCCTAGCTAATTTTTAAATTTTTTTGTAGAGTCATTTCACAATGTGGCCCAGGCTGGTCTCAAACTCCTGAGTTCGGGTGATCCACCTATCTTGGCCTCCTAAAGGGCTGGGATTACAGGCGTGAGCCACTGTACCCAGCCAATAAGTATTCAATTTAGAAGTTGTCAACAAATGAGTTCCCTGACCTGTTAAATCCTCAGAGATTAGCTGATTTTTTTGAATCTGGCAAGTATGATGATGTTTTCTTTTACAAATATGTAAAATACAGGACCTTACCTACAACATTAGATACAACAAAGTACATTATTTAACAAAATACAAAAATGATTCAACTTGAATATAAAATATACCATGTCCCCATAATTTTTCCCTCTATATATTCCTGTTCATTTCCCATTAGTGTAATTATTAAACAAGTACAATATCTAAACTAGTCTCATGAATCTTGCTAATATTTTCCTCAATTTTACAGAAAAACTCAGATACAAACAGATTACATAACATACTGATGCTACAAGAACAAGCCAGGTACTTTTTTTTTTTTTTTTGAGGGGGAGAGTATTAAACCATCTTTCAAATGATCACAAAATTATCAAACTTTTGACATAACAGAGGTAGGCATTTTCCATGTGGCTTTTGGGGGAATAAAATGAACAATTTCTGTGATATAATTTTAAAATTGCCTAAGTAATGTAATTTAGTATAATAAGCCTCATGTATTTTAGAGTATAAACTCTTTCCGTGCATGAAAGCACCTTTAGCAATACCTTGCATTAAACAGGGAAAGTATTCAAGAAATGTTCAATATAGTAATTTGAAGGAGTTACTTAAATGTTAAAATTATTACTACATTTACATAAAAACTGTTGCCTTTGGGATGAACAAATAAAGGAAAGCAAACAAAGATATTTGTTAGAAAAAAATAGTAGTAGTACAAAAGATTAAAAATAGTTCAAGGCATTTCCCTATGTTTTAGAAACAGCCATTTAATTTTATGTACATTCGTTACAAAATGTGAATACTCAACTTGCAACTTTAAGGCAGCAACCAGCCACTATATTACCTTTCCAGTAGTATAAAATCCTGCATCAAATTACAATGTAACTTCCCAAGCAACCAAATAGCTAACATAAAAGTTTGAATTAGACTTCATATAAAAGCTTCCTATAATAAAACCATCATTTTGAGCATCACTAAGGAAATTAAAACAAATCATATAGCTCACTGAGATTTAACTTCCATTTTAGATTGTTTTAACATCCAAGGAAAAACAAACAAAAAAGATTATTTTCACTTCAGTGCAACACTTCAGTATTGCATCCATATATCAGATGCTTATTAATATTATACTCGTAATACTATTTAAAAGTATCACTTTTAAAATGCCTCTACTAAGGAATGCAGTTTTAAATTTTCTTATATTTAAGGAATCATAATTTGTTAATGAAAACTAATCTACTAATAAACTAAAGCAAATTGTCAAGAACCTTTTTTTTTTTTTCTTTTTTAGAGACAGGGTCTGACTCTGTCACCCAGTCTGGAGTGCAGTGGCACAATCTTGGCTCACTGCAGCCTCTGCCTCCTGGACTCAAGCCATCCTCCAAACTCAGCCTCCCGAGTAGCTGGGACTACAGACGTGCACTACCATGCCTGGCTAATTGTTTTTGTATTTTTTGTAGAGATGGGGTTTCACCATGTTGTCCAGGCTAGTCTCAAACTCCTGAGCTCAAGCAATCCACCCGCCTTGGCCTCCCAAAATTCTGGGATTACAGGCGTAAGCCACTGTACCCAGCCAGTATCCATTCTGTTTACAATTGTTTAGCTATATTCCCAGGTAATCTGAATTACCTATTTACACAGCTGATACATTTGCAAAGTACTCTTGATTTTTATAAAGTTATCCAGCTTTTTAAAATTTCTCTTGTAAAATGGACATAAATATAACACCTCTGTCTTTGAAACATTCAAAACACAATATAATGCTGTCCAATGTTACCTTCTCTATGAATTCTTTCCTGACTTACCTAAGCAGTTTCCTGCTCTTTGAACCAGTACATCACTGGACACATTACATCTGTCATAACATTTAACCCATAGAAGCAACTATTTGTTTACTAATGGTTATTAGCACATCTAAGTTATAATAAAATTATTAATTGACAGCCACTTATCAGTTTAACCCTAGGCACTTTATACTACTACTTAACATCACAACAACTACAGAGGGTGAGAACTGTTATAACCATATTATAGAAGAGAAAAGAGGTTTAGTGATATTAATTAGCTACCCACTAGTAACTGACAGAACTGAATTTGTACCCACATATATTAACTGATACTTTGAAATTATCCCAAACTATAAAAAAGTTAGGAATCTGAAAAGCAAATAAAGACAGTACAAGAAATATAGTTGCATCAAGTACACAGATATAATGCCTAGATGTGGAGCAGATATCTGGTGAATAAAAGGCAACAAATGTGAAGAAAAGGCCAAATCATTAGCACAGACTTGAGCCCTACCATTATCAAGCTGCTGACCTACATAGGGAACTTGTCAGATGAAACAAATTAACCCACTTGGTGGCTTTATCACAATAGGTTTTGATATTTGAGCTGAATGTATTCCTAATACATATATTTATGGATGTATAAATAGGTAACACAAATATAAAAATAGGCATGAGAATGAAAAACACCAATTTATTATACTTATGATACTGTTTACCAGGACCTGAGCAGGGTACATAGGAGTTCTCACCATGATAGCCAAACCTTAAGCTAAATAAATACACAAGCATGTGTTACTTATCAATCTGAAATACTTCTTATTTAATCTATGTAATATAAAAATCATAGTAATTCTTTTTATTGAATATAACAAGAAAATATACAGTACACATACAGTTCAAAGAATTATCAAAAAACGAACACACCTGTGTAATCTGGTTAACTACTTCAAGAATCAGAACATTATCAGCTCCCCAGAAACCTCCCTCATATTCACTCCTAGTCACTACCTCCTTCCTCAAAAGCAGCCACTATCCTGACTTCTAAAACCAGAGACTGGTCATGCCTAGTTTTCAGTTTCATATTAATGGAATCATAATATGTGTTGTATGGCTTCTTTTGTCAACATTATAAGATTCACTTACAATGTTATACATAGCTGTAATCCGTTACTGCTATAAGGCAGTCTACATACTACAACTTAAGCTTTTTAACAATGAACTGGGTTGTTTCTACATTAAGGCTATCACAAATAATGTTGCAATGAATGCACCTATTTTTGATATACATGTATGTACAAGCATTTTTATTGGATATTTATGTCCTAAGATTTAAAATTTCACTTGTCCAACCACAGTAGGTAATAGTAGACACTGTCAAACAGTTACTCAAAGTGGTTGTACCAATTGTAAACTCTAGCAGCAGTAGACAAAAATTCTAGTTCACATTCTTGATCCTAACAATAGGTATGTCAGTCTTTTACATTTTAACCATTCTAATGGGCATGCAGTGGCATATCCTTGACTACCAATGAAGCTGAAGCCCTTTTCATGTTTACTGGTCAACTATCTCTTGTGAAGTCCTTGTTCAAAGCTCTTACTCATGTTCATATAGGATTATCTGTCCTTTCCTTATTGATTTGTAGGAGCTCGTATTTAACCTGGATAAAAGCTCTCTTTTTGGTTATATATCTTGAAGCTATATTCTCCCACTCCATGTTTTGCCTTTTTACTCTTAATAAATAGAAGGTATTAATTTTACTACAGTCCAACTTAATCATTCCCTTTGTACTTTTTGTTCTCTGTTTGATAAATTTTCGCACATACAAAGATCCTGAAGACACTCTTTTACATCTTTTAGAAGATGTATTGTTTTGTGTATCATGCTTAATTCTGTAGGCTGTTTAAAATTATTTGTAAAATAGGTACTTTTTTTCATCTGTATATGCAGTTGACCCAGCACCATATACTGAAAAAATAGCCTTGTCTCACTATTGTTTGGCCTTCATTATAAATCAAGTATATTTCTATCCGTAGGTTTGTTTCTGGGCTATATTCTGTCATACTAGTCCATTTGCCTATTCTTGGACCAACACCACACTGTATACTTATCTTTATAATAAGTTTTAAGATCTACTAGAGTAAGTTCTCCCTTTTTATTTTTCAAAGTTAACCAGGCTGCTCTTTGCCTTTGAATTTCCATATAACTTTCATATTACCCTTGTCAATTTCCACACACACACATGCACACATACACACACACACACACACACACCCTCAAACATAAGACTGTGCCTGGGATAGCACTGAATCTACAGATCAATTTGGGTAAAAAATATATCATTATAATAGTGAGTCTTCCAATTCTTGGTATATCCCTCTGTTTATTTAGATCTTCTTTAAATTCTCTCAATATTTTAGTTTTCCATGAAGTCTTGCTTATTTTTTGTTAAATTTACTCCTACGTATTTGATGTTTATGATGCTTTTGTAAACGTAAAATAAATTAAAATTTTAAAATTTAAGGTAAAATGTATTACGTTACATAAAGATAAGTGTAATTTTTAATGTGCTTCTAGTAAGTAGAAATAAAATTGATTTTTATATTAACCTTGTTAAATTCATTTTCTACAGGTACAGTCATGTGAAAAATGGAAAAGTTTTTTTTTCCAGTCTTTATGCCCTTACTTTTTCTTGCCATATTATGTTAGCAAGGATTTTTAATACAGTGAGAAACAGAAGTGGTAACAGGCATTTGTGTCTAATTCCGTACCTCAGGGAAGCTTCTAACTTTGTAGCATTAAGTATGTTTTCTCCAAGTTTTTTATAGCTACAGCTTATCAGATTAACAAAATCCCCTTCTATTCCTAGTTTGCTGAGATTTTTTATCATAAGTAATGTTAGATATTCATAAAATGCTTTTTCTCTACTGAATCATGTAATTTTTAAACCTTTATTACTTTACAACAAATCACCCTATCTTCTCATATTTATTAATCCACTCATTATAAACACTTGATCACACACACACATCATGTGTATTTCTTTTGCTGACACATTTGACAGTACATTTTAATCTTCATGAGATACCACTATATATACTGCAGTATGCTTCTCCTGAGATTTAGGATATCCTCTTACATAGCCACAACATTATCACACCTGAGATCTAATATTACCTAATGATGTCCAGCCCATATTCAGATTTCTCCAACGGCCCCAAAAATACGTAATTTTTTTCTGATTCAAGAGTCAATCAAGGATCATACATTACATTTTGATTATTATATGCCTTTAACCTCTTTTAATCTACAATAGTACTCTCATACCTTTTTAAATGACATTATGACATTCTCCATTAAAGCCATCATAGCATATAGATTTCTTTGTACTTAAGGTTTTTAATTACAGATTAAATTCCTTTAATAGTCAAATATTCAGATTTTCTATTTCTTCTTTTGTCCATTTTAGTCATTTTTGTCATCTTAGTCCTCTGAATCTGTCAGAAGCTCTGCTCATCTTCTCATCCTCCTCTTTTCCATCCAGCCTCCTCTTCTGGAATGGACAATTCACTTCTAGGAAAAAGTAGCCCAAATGCCAGGATCACATTTTCTGGGTTAATTTCTGCTTCCACATCTTGGCCCCAAAAATCTTCACTGCTTTGATAACTTCTCTGATATAGTCAAACAAATTTTGTATTTTGCAGTTTTTCTAGGTATTCTCTGTAGAGGGTTGTTCCACATTACCCTGTCTGCCACTTTGTGGGAAGTAAAACTCTTTGAACTCTTTTGCAATCTGCAATTTTCAAAATAACTGTCACAAATACTGCTATATCCCTTTAACAGGCCTTTAGAATTCTAAATATCTACCATTATGTCCACACACAAAATTGCCAGATTCTGCTACTATCTTTTTATACTTCCTATTCCAGTCATTGCTTTATAAATGGCTTTCCACCCTAGATTTTGATTCCTCATTTTTTAACAGCAAAATCTTACTTCCTTGATAACTCACAAACTACAATGGATTTACAAATGCCTTAAACCATACTTTGTAAGCCACTCCTGTCCAACCTACCTTTTGATTCATAGTTTTCTTAAAGATGAAGTTATTAAAGGTAAGATGCATAAAAAAGTCAAAACTCATATAAATCAGGGCTTATAAATTAGAAAAAGCAAAACAAACAGGTCTTTTTATGACAAGTTGAATAGTGAAATAAACTAGTTCATTTCTGGCTGAGTCTTGATTTGCATCCATACTATAGTAAAATCATTAGATCAATGCACTCTGGGACAACTTCAAACATTCTGTTCTAGCTCTTGAAGAGATATTCAGTTTGACAGTTAGAGAGCTGATTAGGGAATGGTAAGGTCTTTCTACCCACTTGTCCACTACTCTTGGCCCCCATCTTAGTTTCTGTCTGCACTGTGCAAATCTTACTGGCCTCATGAAATAATTTAAATTCTTAAGTAACAGATATATGCCTAATACATAATGCATTTTACTGATTACTAGTCTCAGTCTTGACTTCTTTATTTTAAAAAGTTTATACTTAGAGCACATAAAATATACTGACAAAGTTTCATTGCCAACAGAATGTAGACTGTATCCTTCAACAGTCATGAAGGAGACAGCTATGCCTACAATGAGTATTTGAATACACTAAGATTAAGGACCAAGAATACTATTTTTAAATAATTTATATATTTTCTCCATAAAACTAAATTTTATTATTAAAATAATCTTAAGGGAAGAATCAAATTGTAAAAAGGTATGGGAATATACCACATGTAAATTGTGGGGTTGGGGGTGAGAGGAGGAATACTTAAAAATAACAAAAAAGAGAGAAACTGCCACTTGTAAGACATCGTCAGCATTACAGGTAGTGAAGACCACAGAGAACTTTGAGTTGGATTCTCTATACTTCATTTGTTTATTGAACATCTACTGGATCCCTAGCAGCATATTAGGCAATGGAGTAGAAAGATGCTCTGATTCCTGTAATACCTGTTTCATTAAAGCATTCACAGTCTATCAGAGACTTCACTACTGTGAAGGGAGAAGACAGGAAAATAATTATGAAACAAGTACTCTAAATAAGTATGTATAACAGGACACAATGGGGAAAGTTATTTTAACACATAAAAGAGAGAGGAAAAGCAGTACGCACTATTCAGGAAATTCAGACAGTAAACACTGCATATGTTGGCATAAAGGTTGCATGTGATTCAATGGCAAAGAGATAAAAAAGTAAATCGTGTCAACTCATAAAGGAGTTTTATGTATCATTCTAAAGAATCTGATCTAAAAGGTAAGCTGGGAATAAAAATGAGCTTTGCCTTTGACAAAGATCAGTCCAGTGACAGTGAAGAAGGTGGATGAGAAAGGAAGGCTAAAGCAAACGACTACTGAAGTAGTTCAGACAGGAGGTGGTAAAAGGCTGAAATGGGGCAATGGTAAATATACAGAGTAAATTTAAGAACAGCTGAAAAGTAGACTTACTAGGATATGACCTCTAACTACAAGGAAAGGAAAGCTAAAAATCTAGGATTTCTACCATACTTCTATTTCAGAATTTAGATCTAGGCCTACTTTCAACACATACAAACCACAGGATTCACTTAACTTTAATGGGCCCTGTTTCTTCACATACAAAATGAAGACATTAGACAAGATGTCCTCTGATATTTCCTCCAGCTTAATGTCAATTGTCCAGATTAAACAATACGCATAGCCTTAAGTGTCTCATAATATTATACTCAAGTGAAATATTTTTTTCTTTATTCTCTTGCTTAACCTTTTTAATACAATTATAGCAAAATTGTCTATGATAGAAGATAAATATAAGAGAAATGACAGGGACATTTTCCACATGAGACTAATCCTTTCAAAGCTGGTAGCTTTAATTACATTTCCAGTATCAGCATTTTCATCCAGAAGGGACAGCTGACTACTACTCAACTTAAGTTTCACTAAACCTAATAGTTATTCAACTGAAGCACAGCATTTAAAAATGGGTATAAAAGATTTAGAATTTGCCTACATCCAACTTAAGATTTTATTTGTCTGAGAAATATTCTTTTGAGACATTAATCTCAAAATAATCCCTTAAACGCATGGGCCAGGTGATCAGTCCCTAAGTATGAATCAGATATTTACTTCACCACAGGTACAATCCCCAGAATTATATTTAATGACTGGTATTTAAAACAATCTTTTTTGACTTGTGGCCAGAGATAGCCAGAGAAAGCAATCTAAAGGGTTTTCTTTTTTTAAATCTTAAATTCCACCTTATTTATGTAAAGAAATAAACTTAGTCATGGTATTGAATAAGCTCAATATGTCATTACATTTTTGCTCAGTATTTAGAGGCATTTTTATAATAGAACTAAAGAAGAGGAAGGACACTCTGTATAGTTTTTGAAAAGTACTTTAGTCAGATTCTGGAGGCCTCAACATCTTACAAATGAAGATGTGATGAAGACCAGGAGGGTTAAGATCCTAGTCAAGGTGATGTGGAAGACTGTATTTTCGCCACTACTTTTCAAACAACCTGCCTCTGTATTCTTAAAATATAAAGTCTAATTCTATGCCAAATGCCATTACAAACCTCATCAAAGTGTGTTATATTGCCCCTAGGCTTAAGCAAACTCAATTTTTACTAATGTCCTTGAACTTCGGAAGATCTAACTGTACAAACATGAGACATTTTATACTTTCACAACTTAAAACAATGAGGACATTCAATTAAATATCATACTGGGTTACAGACCAATGATAGTTAAATGACATATTTTAAAAAGTTAACATATTTGGAAAAAAAAATTTATAGATTTGATGATCATAAAAAGTTTTCAAGTCTATGAGACGTAACAGAAACACAATCCAGAGCTGGTACATGGAATAAAATTGCCAACCAGCAAGCATATGGTAAGGTAAGGATCCAAATTCTCTCTCTACCAAGGAATCACCTGAGAACAGTTTTTTCATTTATTTAACAAATGAATTTTTATTAAGACCCTAAAATATTGTGGGTTCTAGTATAAGCACTGGCGATGGAGAGTTTAACAAGAATAAGATCCTATTCTCATGAAACTTACATCAGAGTGATAATAAACAAGTAAAATGTCAGACAATAATACATGTTATGGAGAAAATGTTATGAATGATTATAAGATAAAGAGTGATTGGGTAACAACTTACTGGCAAAAAGACCTCATTAAGGAAGTAATTTTTTAGCTGAGTTTAAAATGACAAAAAGGGATCTACCATCATTAAGATTAGAACAGAGCATTCCCAACACAGAGAGCAGCATGTGTGAAGACCCAAATCAGGTACTAGCCTGGTAGGTTTGAGGAAGTTGAAGACAGACGTGTTTGACACAGTAATGAAGGCAAGAATGAAGTGAGGTCAGACAGAGGGGAAGGCCAGATCATGCAAGACCAGAATAGGTGTATGGACATTTTATAGTTGCAAACCTGCTAAATTTGGAAAATCTAGAACTATAATAGTGTTAATTATGCTTTTTAGTTATCAGAATTTGCAATATGATGAATTTCAATGTACAAACACAGGGGTTTTACCAGTCATTTGTTTCATTTAGTTTGATTTTTAGCCTTAGGAAAGTAACCTGAGTTCGTATACAATATTGTAATTTCAAATTACATTTTCCTTCAAATATAATCAATTGATAAGAATATTAGTGTAGGAAGGGAAGTGAAGCAGTCAAAGTCTAGTTTAAGTGCTGTTATTCACTGTGTACTAGGTGGGCATCTATAATAAGCGACTGAGCTACATAGCTTTTAAGCTTCCTTAGAGCTACATTAAAATTTTAATTTACTTTATCCTTATTTTAATCAAGACAGTGGTTTTCAAACACTGAATTCCTACAAATCCTTCATGCTAGATAGTATTATAATTACTAATTTACTTCTGCCTATCCCCAGCCTGTCACTCTCTATCCGAAGCTCGCTGATAGATACGGACTGTCTTTTTTTTTCTGTTCGAGACAGGGTCTCACTCGAGTTGCCCAGACTGAAGTGCAGTGGCATGATCTTGGCTCACCACAGCCTCAACCTCCCAGGCTCAGGTAATTTTCCCACATCAGCCTCCAGAGTAGCTGGGACTACAAGTGCACACCACCACACCTAGCTAGTTTATTTTATTTGTATTTTTAGTAGAGACAGGGTTTTGCCATGTTGCCCAGGCTGGTCTCGAACTCCTGGACTCAAGCGATCTGCCTGCCTCGACCTCCCAAGGTGCTGGGGTTACATGCATGAGCCACCGCGCCTGGCCAGGACTGTCTTTCATAATTATGAATACTTAGATGCCAGGAAATTTTAGCTTTCCTTTACATAGTATGTTGTTTACAAGGAATCTGTTTTTGAACCTTACTGGTTCTCTTTAAAAAAAAAAAAGAAAAAAAGAAAACTATACCTATCTGCTTTGCAGCATGTAATATATCTTTTAAGTCTTCATTTATACTTTGCATTTTACTCTTCTCCAGTTTTTCATTCAAAAATTTTATTATCTTCTTCCATGTCAGGCCCAAATCTAAAACTTGTTCATGAAGTTTAGATCGCTTTATCTGAAACAGAGATTATAATGTAGAAAAGTACTGCTTAAAGTTCTTCTCAACTCCAACGCTGATTACATATATTTTGCATTACATTATACAACTTGGTACTACCCACAAGAATTCAAAGTTGTATCTATTCACATCCAAACTGACTACTCACAAAACAATTTTACTTAAATGGGTGTTCATAGATTCTCATTCGTTGAAAAGATATGTTTAATAAAAGCTTCTTTTTACAGTTTTAATTACACTGCATACTCATAAAATCATTTCATACAGCAAAGTAAAAAGTTCAACATCCAGATAACAATATTATTATTGTTACTGATAACATCACACATCTTGCCATTTTTCTAACTGCTTGTTTTTAATATAGCTTAGACTATAGTGTATATAAATAAGAGCTTTATGTCATGCTTTTTAATGAAACGCATTTATGGAAAATTAGACTCCCATGACAGGTTCAAATATATTCAAGTCAGCATTACTTTCTTAACCATGATCCTAGACCAGGTGAGGCATTTGGAAGATTCTTTTCTATACACACTCTTTTCTATTAGGTGGCTTAAACAAGAGAAATTTATTTTCTCACAGTTCTGGAGCTACAAGTTCAAGATCAAGGTGTTGGCAGGTTTGGGTTCTTCTGAGGCTTTTGTATATTTGAGACTACAAATCTTTCCACTCTCAAGAACTGACCACAGAACACAATAAAAATTTTATTTCAGACCTCTGGCTTTGATCCATAGAGAAAACTCATGAAGCTTTCAAACCAAATGAAAAAGTAGTGGGTCAGGTAGAAAGCAGTAATTTTGCTATTGGTTAGAATGATGAAAATACATAATTCACCATTACTTCCCTGCCTCCATTTTTTAATTTCAAATGTGACTAGTCAATCTGAGTTTAGGGGGAGGAGAATGGGCAAAGGTAGAGATGAAATAAGATTGGCCATAAAATGAATTAAGTTGTTACAATGGAGTCGTAAGCATATTAAGGTTTATCTTATTTGTCTCTTTACTTTTGTATATGTTGAACAGCTTCTGACATAAAAAGTTATATTAAAATGAAGCTCATCATTATACCACTTTCCTTCCTCAGGGAAGAAAAAAATGTTTAAAAGTTTATAGGAATTAATAAGATGGGATAAGCTTGTAGTACTTACACACTTTTAAATTTTAAAATCTTCTGTTATATCTCTAATACAGAGTAACTTGCAAAGGGCCTTGGGGAGGTGAAGAGAGGAAATAATTCAGGTTTAAGATAGCAATATTAATATACTCTTGTTTTAACTGCTGTGAACAATGTAAAACAGCTACTATTGAAAAGAAGGTTAACTGTTTTGTATCTAACCAAATTTTGTATCATTAGAGAAAAAAAAATCTATCACAAACCTGTTACAAAACTCCTTCCCGGTATCAATCTTTGAGTGAAACTATTAGTTATAAAACTGCATAAGGACTTTTAGCAATAAAATTCTAATCTACTAGGAAACAATGTTATCATTCTACAATAGATTCAAATGAGTCAGCAATTAAAGTGAATGATGTTTTTCAAAAAAAAGGGCCAGTTACTTCATATACTATATTACATGGTTCATTTCTTCGTATGTTCAATTGATAGAGCTTCAGGCCTATAAAATTCACAACATTATGGCTAAGCTTCTAAAACATTTGCCCTTTCCCTGTGACATTTATATGAAACCTGTTATTATATTTTGTGCAAGTTTCAGCAACCTAGAGATAAATAATTTCATTTATTTATTTATTTATTTATTTATTTATTTTTGAGATGGAGTCTCGCTCTGTCACCCAGGCTGGAGTCCAGTGGCACAATCTCAGCTCACTGAAACCTCTGTCTTCCAGGTTCAAGCAATTCTCCTGCCTCAGCCTCCTGAGTAGCTGGGATTACAGGCGCCCACCACCATGCGTGGCTGATTTTTGTACTTTTAGTAGAGATGGGGTTTCACCATGTTGGCCAGGCTGGTCACGAAGTCATGACCTCAAGTGATCCACCCGCCTAGGCCTTCCAAAGTGCTGGGATTACAGGCGTGAGCCACAGCGCCTGGCCCTAGAGATAAATAATTTCAAAGATGTCCAAAATACATTCAAATGACATGAATGGCTACAGCTTTTACTCTTTTGTTTCTTGTGCCTTTTGAAACAGAAGATTTATGTACTTCAAAATCACATTCAGGAAGAAACCACAGTAATTTAAAGATTACAAGTTCATTCATTCATCACAGTAGTGAAATCATCACATCTACTAATTGATCAGAATCCGTACGTTATTGGCTGCATATATACCCTCAAAATTCATATGTGGATTCCCTAACCTTCAGTACCTCAGAATGTGACTATCTTTGAAAATCGGGCCTTAAAGGGGGTGATTAAGTTAAAGCCCTTAGAGTGGGACTTAATTATCTGATGGATCTTGTAACAAAATTTAGACACATAAAAAGACACCAGGGATGTGCTTGTACAGAGGACAAATCATGTGAGGACACAGCAGGAAGGCTGCCTTACTTGCAAGCCACACAGAGAAGCCTCAGAAGAAACCAAGCCTGCCAACACCTTGATCTTGGACTTCTAGCTACAGAACTATGAGAAAATAAATCTTTGTTGTTTAAGCCACCTAATCTGTGGTATTTTGTTATTCTGTGCAAACTAATATACCACATTCAGAGACATTTCTAAGAATCTTTCCTTTAAGTATCTTATAAGTACATGTCTAGAATTTTCTGGAAGTCTTGATATCATATGCTTTTAATTTTTCCATAATATTAAAACTTGTAACTGCATATGTAATTTATTTTATACCTTTTTAAGACTTATATAAGTTTATCCATCAGAAGAAATTACTTGCCAAACGTCATGCCCTAATTTGTGATTCAGAAAATGTAGTCATTGAACCTATACAGGAAAGACACTGAAGAAGTTCCTTCGATAAAACAAAAATGATCTTCCAAAGTGATAATTGCCCATTTTTGACCTAGTGAGATTTACCTGTATTTGTAGGAAGGGTAACATTAGCATTATTTATTATAATATTAACTCATATAAGGAAACTTTTCCATACCATAATTACTAAAGCAGGGGTCAGTCTTTACTATAAATGTCAAAGCAGTCCATGTACATTTAATTTTTGTTTCTTACTAAAATGTATTTCTGAAGTTTTAGTCACAAAGTAGCTTTTAAAATAACAATGTTTCTTAAGTCTTAAATGCCTTTCTTACCAATTATAATGACAAATCAATTATGAGATCAGCCTCTGAGTTCAAGAGATTAATATTCATATTTCTCATAAGGTACAGACACTGCTTTTGTTCATTTGATAAGAATTTTACCAGAGACCTACTGGTAAATTTTACCAGAGACCACTGGTAAAAAAACTTACTCAGATAATCCAGAGGTAAATTACAGGATTAAGTTACAAACGTAACTGTGGTAGGGAGCTGAACAAAAAAAAAATTAACAAAGGATTCAATTATCATAGTTCTGATTATTCCCCTTGACAATATGGTTTTAGATGCTAAACGTAAGTATTACCATAGTAAACAGCAGCATACACATTCTCCATCTTTGCCTCACACCAAACAAGATAAAACTTCCATGTTAACCACATAGAATGGAGAAAAAGAATGTCAAATAGTTGTCCATAGTCTGTGTTTATAATAATGTTCAACATTTCTACCTTTAACAAATCTACCTTTAAGTCAGCCACTTCTTCATTATAATTATCTTGCTTGGTGACATTTGAAAAGGAACGCAAGGCTCCTGTGAGACGAGGTAAAGCCATCTATTATTCAATCAGTGATCCATACAGCAAGAAACCTGAAACTGAAACAAAACAAGATGATATTTATCTGTTCGGAAGAGGTGGCAGAGGTAATCAAACTCAACAAATTAGCTTGTACAAGAGAAAAAAGGAAAAAATTGGTTAAAAAGCAATTGTTATCAACGTTGAAAAATTCTCCTGACATATTTTCTATCCATGAAGTTTTTTTGTTTTTAAAAAGCATTAGCTATGGTTGGAGAAAGGAAAAAGAAACAAACATTTCCTCAAAATTGGGTTCTGTAGATTCCCAAGTACAGGCATCAAATACTATATTACTACTGCCAATAATATTTAAAGAGATGAAACCACCTGTTCATCTTTTTCCCTAATTTTGTTTTATGCTCACTGATTTCAAATTACACCACTTTCCAGTGGTTTCCTCTGCTTGGAATGGTTTCCCTTGATGTTCGTATAGCTGGCTTCACACTGAACTCTTGGCTTAAAAGATGCCTCCTAAGATGCAGCCTTTCCTGACCACCCCATCTAAAACAGGCGACCCAGTCGCTGTCTATCAAAGCCCAAAATTTTAATTCTTTTTATAGCACTAAGTAATATTTGACACTTTCTTGTTTATTTACTAACGTATGTGTTGTTTCAACCCACAAAAAGTAAGCTTCATGACAGAAAGATCTCTATTTTACTAATCTCCCCAGCAAATAGACAACAGAACCAGAATATTTTTGGTACTCAATAAGTATCTGTTAATGAATAAATGGAAGATAAATGAAGAAAAGGCAAAAATGGTAACAGACTGGACAACAGGCCAGAAAAGAAAACAGCTGATGAGGGGGAAGAACATACCGGGAAAGAGAGAATTCAGATGGCCTGGTCTAATCTCCTCCTTAACAGGCTGATGACTAAACAATTTCCAGGCAAAAAGATTAATAATATTTACTATTAGGAGAGCCCTGATCTATGAAAGACTCTTGGAGGACTGTACTAGTTTAAGATTGCTTATTATAACACAACTACTATCTACAGATCTATAAGGCACGGCTCCCTGAAGAATGTCACATAAGCTATGTAAGTCTTTAAAACATCCCAGCTAGGAATGATTTTGCCCCACATGGGACATCTGGCAATATTTTAGATATTTTGGGTGTCACAACTATCAGGGAGGTGGAAGGGGACTACTGATTTCTACTGGATAGAGGCCAATGATGCTACTAAACATAAAATGCAGAGGACAGCTCCCCAACAACTAAGAATTATCTACACCAAAATGTCCAACGTGGGAAGGAAAGAACTGGGAAAGGGGAGACATACAGAATGTCTCAGACTATTCTCTGCTCCTGCTGTTCCTCTTGACTACTGTATTCCTGAAGTTATCAAAAAGGGTAATACTTGGAAAAATCTATGACCTATATATTAGAATAATCAGATACAAAATATCTATCTATAACAACTATAATAGAAATTTTTTAATAATGAATAATAAAATACAAGTAGGATGATTTGAAAATACAACTTTTAGAAATAAAAATATATACTTGTTAAATTTTAAAACAATCAACAGATGGGTTAAGCAACAGCTAAAAATAAAAGTGATAACCTGGAAAAGACTTGAAGAAATAACCCATGCATGCTGTCACAGACTAAGTATAGATAATGCAGGATAAATAAAAACAAATTGAAATATATCAATAATCATAATAAATACAAATTAAACTTACCTCTCAAAAGATTGACAGGATGAACTGCAAAATAACAAAAAAGTAAAACACTAGTGCTACACTGAAAACATAGGAAAGGAAAGGCTGAAAGGATAGGATAAGATCTTCCTGCAAACAACCAAACGTAGCTGGTGGCTCTATCAAAAATATCAGATCAGACAAAATTGGCTTCAAAACAAAAGGTATTAGGAAGGGATTAAAAAAAACCTCTCTACATAATAATATAAGATAAAGCTCACTAAGAAGACTTAAAAGTTCTGAATTTGTATGCACTGCTAGGATAGTCTCAAAATAAAACAAACAGACCTCAAGGAGAAAGTGACAAGTCTAACATCAAAGTAAAAGTTTAAATACTTCAATTATTGTCAGGTCAAGCCAATCTTCCCTCCAAAATAAAAAATCAATAAAGATATAGAGAACCTGAAGAGTACAATTACTAAGTCTGATTTAATGAACAAATATAGAAACCTGAACTTGATTTTAAAAAATGCATATTTTTAAAAATGCATTTTTAATGCATTTTTTAATGCATTTTTTCTCATGCGTCAGGAGGCTGATGCATGAGAATCGCTTGAACCTGGGAGGCAGAGGTAGCAGTGAGCCAAGATGGCCCCACTGCACTCCAGCTAGGGTGACAGAGTGAGAGTCCGTCTCAAAAAAAAAAAAAAATTAGGTTTGGCAAGCGCAGTCTCTGCCATACATTCATTCCTTTTTTTAAAAATGACACTTTAGAAGTGTAAAACCCATTCTGGGGCTCAGGGTGACCAAATCTGTTTACTGATCCCTGATAGAGGTCACATTCTTTGAGCAAAATATTTATTACAAATCAAAAACAAAAAAATGAGGTATTAAAAACAAACATGATTGCACTGCAAATCAGTAAAGAACTGGTATGAGGACAGCTGGGGAAAAAACAGTTGGACTCTCTACATCACATTGGAGAATTTTAAACAGAGAAGTCAAATGATCCAACTTACAAATAAACTTCTAAGTTAGCTGACTTCAGATTTCAACTACCTGTTGGGAGTGAATTCAGGAGAGCATGGAAATAAGATGATTCAGGGAATCACATCTGGATTTTTCTAACACTAGATAACATACTTCCTGGAGCATTTGGAAGAAAAAAATGAAAGCAAGAGTCAGTGGACAGCACAGAGCAGAGATTCTCAAACTTTATTATATATTGAAACTACCTGCAGGGCTTCTTGAAAAACAAACTGGCTGAGCCCTACCACCTTACTCTCTTCACCCCAATATTCCAATTCAGCAGATCAGATGGCACTGAGATGAGGTTTGAAAATTTACATTTCCAACAACTTTGCAGATGATGCAGTAGGTCAAGGATCGTAGTTGAGAACCACTGTCTTAGAGATGATGTCTTTTATTCTTTTTTTTTTTTCTTTTGAGACGGAGTCTCACTTTGTTGACAAGGCTGGAGTGCAGTGGCGTGATCTCGGCTCACTGCAACCTCCACCTCCCAGATTCAAGCAATTCTCCTGCCTCAGCCTCCCGAGTAGCTGGGATTACAGGTACGCACCACCACGCCCGGCTAATTTTGGTATTTTTAGCAGAGATGGGGCTTCCCCATGTTGGTCAGCCTGGCTTCAAACTCCTGACCTCGTGATCCGCCCGCCTCGGCCTCCTAAAGTGCTGGGATTACAGGTGTGAGCCACCATGCCTAGCCAATGTCTTTTATTCTTAAATCACCGCTTAATTTTGTCTCAAGCCAATAATGGCCAAGGAAGAAATTCATCTATTAAGAAATCCATGGACTGGGGGCCAGGCACAGTGGTTCACACCTGTAATCCCAGCACTTTGGGGCCAAGCCAGGTGGACTGCTTGAGGCCAGGAGTTTGAGACCAGCCTGGGCAACACAGTGAGACCCCCAACTCTACAAAAAAATTTTAAAAAGCCAGGCAAGTGGCATGCACCTGTAGTCCCAGCTACTCAGGAGGCTGAGGTGGGAGAATTGCTTGAGCCCGGAAGGTCAAGGCTGCAGTAAGCCATGATCATGCCACTGCAGTCAGCCTGGGTGACAGAAATCCATGGCCTGAATTCAGTGCATAGCCTGGCTCCTACCAGCCTTTCTCAATGGGGGTCTGTAAGAGAATACAACTCTTTTATTGAAAGTGACTTGACTTTTTCTCAATTCTCCCAAGAATTGTACACAGTACACAGTATGTTTGTACACAGTACACAGTATGTATGTACACTGTACATGTCATCCATAGAGAGGAAGTAAGGTATACAATGGATGCCAAAGCATTGGGGTTTTTATTTTCTACCCACACTGAGACACTGCAAAAATGTATTCAAGATAACTAAATTTAGTCAAGTCTTTAAAGAAAGGCTCTGATAGTAAACTAAACATACTCTGCCTCAGAACCTAGAACCTACCTTTTACCACACAAGTTAGTGCTTTCAAAATGTAGCATCAGAACAAGAAACATGATGTATTAATACTGTGCCTCTGGCATGGTCTTACAAATTAATGGGGTACTTGGGACCACTACTTTCACCATTTTTATATACATCACAGTAATGTCCTGAATCCTCTGTGCCTTTCTTTTTTAAAAAGTAGAAAGCAAGACTTCATTTTTATTCTAACTCACAAACCTAGCAAATCCTAACAAGATAATACACTCAACCTCTAAGAAGAGATCTAATATTAGGATTCGGTAATGAGGTCACATTGTTACAAACTACAGTAACTGAAAACTTTAAAGCTCCCTGAGACCTGAGTAGAAAAAAAAAAGGGTCGGGGGGGGATCATGGCAGACGGGAGGCAGGACTAGACTGCAGCTCCCACTCTGACAGAGCACCGTGTGGAGTCTTGCATTGTAAACTCTTGCTCCAGAATGACGGCAGGAATAAATCAGGAAAGCCAAGAGAACCCACAGACCTTCTGAAGGAAGCAGATTGCTCCTGCAGGGCCCAGGATATACCCCAAATACTGTGCTGGTATCCATGACTGAGAGACCCACAGACGGTTCACATCACAGGTCTCTGTGTAGACAACCCCCAGTACCAGCCCAAAGCCTGGTAGACCTGCTGAGTGGCTAGATCCAGAAGAGAGACAACAATCACTATAGCTTGGCTCTCAGGAAGCCATATCCCTAGGAAAAGGGGGAGAATATCATCAAGGGAACACCCCGTGGGACAAAATAATCTGAACAACAGCCTTGAGTCCTAGACCTTCTCTCTGACAGACCCTACCCAAATGAGAAGAACCAGAAACCTAACACTGGTAATATGACAAAACATGGTTCTTTAACACCCCCCCCAAAAAATCACAGTAGCTCACCAACAATGGATCCAAACCAAGAAGAAATCCCTGATTTACCTGAAAAAGAATTCAGAAGGCCAGTTATTAAGCTAATCAAGGAAGCACCAGAGAAAGGCAAAGCCCAATTTATGGAAATTTAAATAAACAATAAATGAAGGGAGAAATCTTCAGTGACATAGACAACATAAATAAGAAACGAAACTTCAGGAAACAATGGACACATTTATAGAAATGCAAAATCCTCTGGAAAGTCTCAGCAATAAAATTGAACAAGCAGATCTTCAGAGCTCGAAGACAAGGTTTTCTAATTAACCCAATCCAACAAAGGCAAATAAAAAAGAATAAGAAAATATGAACAAAGCCCCCAAGAGGTCTGGGATTATGTTAAATTACCAAACCTAAGAATAGTCAGCGTTCCTGAGGAAGAAGAGAAATCTAAACGTTTGGAAAACATATTTGGGGGAATAATCTAAGAAAACTCTCCCAGCCTTGCTAGAGACCTAGACAATCAAATACAAGACATTCAAAGAACACCTGGGAAATTCATCACAAAAAGATCATCGCCTAGGCACACTGTCATCAGGTTATCTAAAGTTAATATGAAGGAAGGAATCTTATGAGCTGTGAGGCAGAAGCACCAGGTAACCTTATAAAGGAAAACCTATCACATTAACAGCAGATTTCTCAGCAGAAACTCTACAAGCTAGAAGGGATTGGAGCCCTATCTTCAGCCTCCTTAAACAAAACAATTATCAGCCAAGAATTTAGTATCCAGCAAAACTAAGCTTCATAAATGAAGGGATGGTACAGTCTTTTTAGGCAAACAAATGCTCAGAACACGCCACTACCAAGCCAGCACTACAAAAACTGCTAAAAAGAGCTCTAAATCTTGAAACAAATCCTGGAAACACATCAAGTAAAGCTCCCTGAGATCTTATCAAAATAATCAGCATGAAATTATGCTTGTTAAGGGAATGAAGCAAAGCACATTACCAGATTTGCTATTTTTATTTGATGTGTTTTCTTCCCCAGGTTGAATGAGCAACACTAAAAATGTAACAGCTCATTAGTTCATTGTTACCTATAAATCATTTATACACAAATATTTGAGTTTCTCCTATCTACTAGGATCTGGGCTAGGCACTGGATGTTAATGAAGTTTACAGTTCTTCAAAACTCATTGCATTTTAGGCTGGGCGCGGTGGCTCACACCTGTAATCCCAGCACTTTGGGAGGCCGAGGCAGGCGGATCACGAGGTCAAGAGATTGAGACCATCCTGGCCAACATGGTGAAACCCCGTCTCTACTAAAAATACAGAAATTAGTTGGGCGTGGTGGTGCGCACCTGTAGTCCCAGCTACTAAGGAGGCTGAGGCAGGAGAATCACTTCAACCCGGGAGGCAGAGGTTGCAGTGAGCAGAGATCGCACCATTGCATTCCAGCCTGGCAACAGAGCAAGACTCTGTCTCAAAAAAAAAAAAAAAAAAAAAACAACTCATTGTATTTTGTACCAGGAAAAAGATTCCCTTTAAGTTTTATTTGAAATGTATAAAGGTCAAATTGAGAAAACAAATTTTAAATATTATGTTATTCATTCACTAAGCAAATATTTATAGATCACCCACCATATATTAGATATTTTATGAGGCTCTAGAGATTAAAAAAAGAAAAACATTTTGATATGATTGCACTTGCCCTCAATGATGAGCTTACAGTATGGTTGGGAAGAAAGAAAAATAGTTGCAATAATTATGCAGCTATAACTGTAGGAAGACAGGGAAGGAGCATCTAAAGGGGTGGGAGGGCACTAGATATAAAGAAGGAAGCTGAGCTTGAGCTGAGACTTAAAGGACCTAGACAAGGTTATTACAAGAGGTAAACTATGAGGGGGAAAGCCAAAATAACAGACTTAATTACTTTTAAAACCCCTACAGAATGTGCATTTGGAAACTGATGAAATAAGACCTAAAAATGTAAGCAGAGACCAAACAACATGTCTCAAATTAGGCACTTTTCATTCTGATAATCAGAATCACTGAAAAAATACTAACATGTTACAGAAAAATTACTCAGATTTACATGTGGTGAACTGTCAAGGTGGGGTCAAACAGGACACAGGCAAACCAGTTGGGAAGTTATTTCAATAAACCAACTGAAAGACAGAGAGGATAGAATTAAGCCAGGGAAACACATAAAAGGATGGATTTAGGAGATCAGTATACTTGGAAGACAGAATCAATGTGGAATAGGATTTAAAGAAGGAGAAAGGAGCAGGACACTCAAATTTCTGGCTTAGGAAATGTTGAAGAGTGGAGGAGTCTATATGTATAGAGGGCATCAGGAAGAGGAATGATAATTCTGTTTTGGAAAACTTTAATTATGGGCTATCAAGTGGGGCATATGGTTTTGGATTTCCTATCAGAGGTCTGGGCTGGAAATCCAGAATTTCATGTTATCACTTCATCATAGTTAAAACCATGGATGAACATAATATTGTCTAAGTCAAATATACATAAGCCCATGGACCCTCTTCCTAAGAAAACAGACATACATACATATAAACAACATTTTGTACTCCATTTCAAAAGCTGCATGAATGCCCATTCATGCACTCCACCCCTAAAGGCCTCTTGGAAGTAGACAGTAGAGAGTTAAGAACAGAGTTCTAAGAAAGTGATCCACAAATCAGTTGTCATATGGAAAAGTGATATGACAACAGAAAAGAAAGTTTCAAATGACATGATACAGTCCACTGTACTCAGCCACTCTGCGGTCCTAGATGACTAGCACACCTAGTTTCCAAAAATGGTAGAAGCTAAATCTCAGTGAGTTGAAGGATAAACGCAAAGGGAGAAAATAGGGAAAAAACAAACAAACAAACAAAAAACCCTACAAATGGGTACATGCTATTCTTTCAAGAAAATGAGAAAGAAAAGGAGAAAAAGTAGGAAATACTGAAATAATGTGGTTTAAGAGTTTCTGAAAATAAAGGATAGAGTTGATCATGATTTTATCATAATCAGGGGAGAGCAAAGAGAGAAGGAAAAGTTGAGCAATCAGGAGAAAGACTGTGACTGATGGAGTAGGGTCTCTGAGAATGCAGGCGAGAATGACAACAAAAGCATAGGTCTAGAGAGACTTGGATAGATGAAGGAGTACGGAAGGAAGGATGAGTGGAAGTGCATATGGTTATAACATGGTTAAGCAGAGGGTGAATGAGGAGAGAAAAACATGGTAAAAGGGAGTTCCACCAAAATGACTCTGATTTTATTTGAGATATGCTAAGACTGTTCAAACAGGTGATGAGGTGGGATTTTTTCTAACACAGAGGCAAAAGTCTGAACTTACCACCCACAATAATAGAAGAAATATTTTTCAGGTAGCAATGAATGCTCAGCTCATACTGCAAACAATTTAAGGTGGCAATAATCTGGCATAGGAACAAAGGTTGGTGTGAACCAGGGTTAAGGTTTTGTAACACAGAGGCAGTGGGACAATGAAGCCTAAATGATAAGGGTTATTAAGTGCTTAACTTTAGGCCTAGATGAAAGGAAAAGATGTTCAACTAGGAGGTCTTAAAGATGAATCATAACATTCATAGTTAAAATTTCTGGTAAGATCACAGTGAATAAGGATTAAGAAAAACTGGCCTACATATCAATTTTTACCTTACTAATTTTTACTCCACATTTAATATGGTCCACTAAATGACAAATATATAAATGAAAAATTCTGTTAATAATAAATATTTAATGCCCCAGAACAAATATAATTTCTAAAGGATTGAAACCCTAAAAGCCTACTTCTGTTCGTCAGAAGTACTGGCTGTGGCTATCTGAACAAATCTTTAAATTGTTAATTAAACATACGTACAGGTAAAAAGAAAGTCTTAAAAATGTAACTGTCCTTTTTTACATTCCAAATAAGGAGAAAACTAAACTGATGGTAGCATATTTCCTTTTGCAAGATGATATTAACCAATAATCAGTGAGCTAGAATTCCAGTACACACTATTCTGAAGTACTACATTTAAAATTGTAATGTTTATTCTTCTTAAACCAAACCTGTGTTTCTAAACTCTAAAGATGGTCTGACTGCTTGATAGCAACTTTAGGAAAAGATAGTTACTGTATTTTTTCGTTATAAAAATATGAAAAGATCTCCAAAACAGCCAAACTATATTTCCTAATAAGTTTAAAGTCAGCACTTAGTTACTGGCAATTATGGATACTAGGGAATTATTAAAGGGACAAAAATAGTCAAAGTGATATACTGCAGATTAAGGGATAAAAACACTGACATGAAGGAGTAGGTTGTAAATGGAGTAAAATTAGAATTTAAGATTTCAGTACTTAAAATAGAATCTTGTACCCACAAACCACACCTTGAAAAATGAACAGTGAATAAATATTAAACAGTGAATAAGAATATTTATATTTTATTGTGCCTTTTTTAAAAATTGAGTTGTGATATTGTTAACATTAGCAAGATCAGAACTCAGAAAATAACCATCGTCGACACATATTTATAATCCTCCATTATGCGATTTCAAAAGGGGGTGATTTTTTCATGATAAATCCTAAAGATAATTTAATTTCTTACTTGTATTAAACCTTATTACCATCAATTGGTTCATACAGCAGAGTCTAGGCACATTTAACTTTCTTGAATCTACCAAACACTGTAGGCCAAAAAAAGGAAGGCAGAGACAGACAAAAACAATAATTACTAGAGATTCTGCTTACCATTTCAGGTATTGAATATCTGCTCCAGAGTGAATGGGGGATGGGCAACAAGAATCTTGCTCTTTTAGTCTGTTTCAATCACCACATGCATCTCAAAATGTGAGCATCTTGCTGCATTGCATGATTCTAGTTTTTAACACTTTTTCTCTTTTTTTAAAAAACATACAAGGTGGTGACCAAACACAGAGCAACTTTTTCACTGGGAGTTCATCTAAAGAAACTGTGATACATTCCAAGTCAGGATGAAAAACATGGCTGTGTAGGACATGCTGAGAGACAGCATGTTATGCCAACTTGATGTCCTTTTAAGGGATTCTCAAAGGTAATCTTAGCTATTCACAGTTTCCACCTAACAAGTTCACTTTAGATGCTAACTCATTCTTAAGCAAGAAGCAATTGCTCCTGAATAGTTCTCAATCAAGTTAGGAAACACATCTGAAGCATGCAGAACAGAGAAAGCATGACAAAAATAATAAAACACATAAACACTTTTCACACAATACAAAATATATAATGGTTAAAAACAACCAAATTTCTATGGGGCTCTTATTCTCTAACTTATCCTCTAACTAGGTTTCCCATTCAAAGGTGGGGGAAAAAAATCCTGGACAGGCTCATAACTATAAAGCAGATTAGTCTTTATATTCAGAATATTCCCCCCCAAAGTTGTGTTAATTTTACTTTTAGCACAGGGTAAGGAAGGCTTTTCCTTTAAATGTCCTTGGGAAAACAAATAAAAAAAAATATTTTAACACCAGATAAGGACAAGCATAGTCAGAAAGAAAATTCCAGAATATCCCACAAAGATGAAACGAGCACAAGAAAACGTGGAACAGACCCAGCACATATTAGGCAGTATGTATTATAACTCTTCCCACGAAAGTCCAGTGGAAAAGGGCCTAGCACAGATTATGTCTGAAAGACAAAATTCTCATTCCACCCTAATCCATGAGCCTCTGGGAGGCAGACTGAAGGAATTTACGCCTGCCCTCTTGTGAGAGTGGAAAAAACTCAAACCGTTTTTCCTCTGCTCTCACACGACAACCATCAACACAGAAGATGTCTGTGACAAAATGTGTATGAGTTTCTCCCCATGCACCAAGCAAACAATCACTTCTGCAGCAGACATCAGATGAGTGTTCTCCAATTCATTTCTGACACTATCTAGAGATACTGTCATATCCCACAGATTGAAGGCCCAATCCCACAAGACTGCCCACCACTTCTGATGCCAATTACAAGCTCCAGGCTTTTTTATCTGTACTTCTGACTGACCAGCTATAAATTGGGGATTACATGACCCCCCTCCTTGGGTTCGGTTAATTTGCTAGAGTGGTTCACAGAACTCAGGGAAACACGTTTACCAATTTATTATAAAGGATATTACAAAGGATACAGATGAACAGATACATAGGATAGGGTAATTTATAAGGGAAGGGAATTTCCATGCAGAACTTCCAAGTACTTCCTGGGCACACCACCTCAAGGAATCTCCACATGTTCAGCTTTCAGAAGCTTTATGAACCCTGTCATTTTGAGTTTTTATGGAGGCTTCACTACATAGGCATAATTGATTAAACCCTTTGGCCACTGGTGATCAACTTAATCTTCAGCCCCTCTCTCACCTCCCTAAGCAGTTAGGGGGTGGGGATGAAAGTCCCAACCTTCTAATAATTCCTTGACCTTTCTGGTAACCAGCCCCCATCCTGAAGCTACTAGGAGCAGCCAGCTAGCTAAGACAAAATTCTTAGTCAATTCATTAGCATACAAAAAGGCAAAATGGGGCCCGTAATCCCAGCACTTTGGGAGGCCGATGCAGGAGGACTGCTTGAGCCTAGGGGTTCCAGAGATACACAGGAGATCAATCAGACCAAAGTGAAGACTGGAAAGAAACTGATTTCTACCTCAAAAGAAAAAGCTTTTTATTTATTTATTTTTTTTGAGGTAGAAACTGAGGTAGAACTGTGAACTTTATATTTAAACAAGCTTTGAAAAAGAAAAACTTACTCTTCTGAAATGGCAAACCACTGGTACATATACTACTTTTTGATCAAAGGCAATATCAAATCATGCTGTTAAAGCAAGATCATCTGTTCCCCTTTCAATGCCAATTACATATATACATTGACAATAACTTTTTCTTTTAAAAGCTTTGTTTTGGTTAACTACAGATCCATGGCATGAGAAAGAACCCTAGTCAAGATTCTGTCTTAAAAGGAGGCTGCTGGATTATAGAAAGTTCATGAGCACAGAGACTGTCTCTCTCTTGCTCTCCTAGGCCTAGCCCAGCGTTTGACACATAGGAAGACTTGAATGAATGAATGACAAAAAACTGTTAAGCAGGGATCAAGAAAGCTGAACCATGAAAAATTAATTTCTCATATAAATAGGATTATTTAGCCTAAGCTTAAGAGCATCTTTAAGGATCATTTTTCTCATGCAAGACTATTATAACCATCATTAAAAAAAAGAGACAACATAAACTGGAGCACAATCCATAGTAAAACCAAAAGCTTAATTCTCAACATTTGAGAACTTTGAGAATCAGAAAAAGGATTTCAATCTATGAAACATAAAATCTGGTGATGGAGAAAATGGCTGTCAATCTCACCTAACCTAGGGAAAGAAAGAAAATGTAACCATGAGTTTGAATGCACAAGTGACAACACATCAAACTTTTACCAGCCCCTAGAATTATGCTTCTTTTAAACCAAAGAATAGCAAATACCATTAGCACACTGCATTCCATGAGTAAGTTAATTTATAAGAAACCTATTTGAAATGACTGCCCAGTACTCACAAAACCTCCCTAGCACCCACATACACATTTATTTATTTCAAAATGACATTATAGGCTCCTTGATTGCGAAATTCACCCACAATCCATCACGGTCAGCTACCTATTTACTTTCCAGTGTGTTGGGGGAAAAATATGAGGAAGATTTCTTTCCCCAAATCTACGTGAAGAAAACGAAGTTATCAAGGCTTTGTAACAGAAAAAAAGAAAACAAATTACCCATGCATGGGACAGAAAAACCTCATCTGGTCACGTTGTGGCTTAACACTTGGACAATATGTAGCTTAGGTTAAGTTTTCTATCCCCAACCCCACCTACAAACTCTAGGAATGGGCGGTATTGTTGCGAGACCCCGGACTCGACCTCATGCCACTGAAAAGGATGACAGGTCGGGACTTGCCCCGGAGGCAGGAAGAGAATCTCTGGCGGGTCGCGTAGCCCGCCTCGCCGTCCCCGCCTCCAGCCAGCTCCCCTGGCCGCGGCGACCCTTCTCGTCCTCCCACCTCCACCTCCACCTCCTCACCTCTCGGCCTGGCTCACGCGTTTCCCATCACTCTGTCAGCTCCTGCCACCGCGCCTTCTTCCCTTTCGGTTTTACTTTAACTTCCCACGCCGGGTGAGGAGCTGAGCGCAGGGCCAAAGATGCGAGCGGGCAGCTGTATCGCCGCGCCCCGTCCGCCCTCCAAGCCGCGCTTGCCGGGGTCGCGCCCAGTCACAGGGAACCGCGTGTGAGGACCATCAGTCAGACAGACAGACGCAAAGACGCACAGACCCGGCGAGGAGGGACAGAGTGGAGCTGGCGCCGGCCTACACGTCACCGCCCCGCTGCAGCGCCAACGTCGGCACGTCGACTCGTCGACTCCGGGCCCTCTGCCCCGCCCGCGTGCGCGCGCCGCTCCGCCTCCCGCCTCCAGCCTCTAGTCCGCTGGGTTCGGAGGAGCAGAGGCGGAAGGTCCCGGCGGCGGCGAGGATGCGCCCCAGGGCGGGAGCGGGACGCTCCACTTTACCCTGGCTGCCCGCAACGGGCCAGGCCTGCCGTCTCTACCTCTCTACCTGTGAGTTTTTTCCCTGCATTTACTTCAGTCTGCCGCGTCTTCTCCCCGCCCTTCTCTGTAAGGTAAATATGTGGAGGAAATAATTCCTATTAAAGGTAAAGGAAAGGAGAGCAATTTGAATGAAGAAACAGGTAGTTGCTATCGTCGTTTTCAGCCAAAGCCCTCTGGCTGCTAGAGAGTATACATGGTTCTCTGGTGTCAAGGCCTGTTTTCCATAAGCTTTCTGGATTCTCAGCTTAGTTCCCTCAAAGTGATCTCTGCAAGTCGGCTCTTCGGTCAGAAGACCTCCTCCAAAAACAGAAAGCCCAAAGATTCCCTAACTCGATTGAAAAGATAGGAAGATACGAAGAAAAACTAACCTAAAGAATTGTGTGGTTTATCTGCAAAGAGTTCTAGACTAAAAGCCAACAATGCAAAGATAGTATGAGTTAATATGTTTGTTGTGGCTCTCTTCTGCCATTCCCGCTTCCTCAAGGTAATGTGCCCCGATGCCTGGTAGAACTGTTTTGTAGAGGCAGCCAATAGTGATCCAGTTATTGTCTTTACTGGTCAGACCACCTCTGAAGTGCTGTGTTCAGCATTTGAAGACTTTAATCAAGCTGGCATTATATCAGGGAAGAGCAAAATGATGACGAGAACTCAAAAACAGGGCAAGTGAAGAAGGATTGATTAAACCTTCCAGGACTCACCTAGAAGAGAGAAAACTACTGGACTCTCTCCAAATATGAAATGACCTATCATGTGAAGTTGATTTGTTTCATGTGATGCAAACTTCAGGGAACAGATTTAAGATCCTGAAAAGAAGATGCCCTTGTAGCACGACCCAAAGAATTGCCTACCTTAGCATGTGTGAATACCTCAACCACAGAATTTTGCTTCAAGGAGATTCTGAAGCTCACTTAATAGGGACTTGGTACAGGGGAGCCACACATCAACAGAATAATTAGTTGATGGTTTTGTTAAAGATATTTCCAGTCTTGAGATTACATGTGTCTTTGGTCCTGGACTTCATAGAGTTTACAAGTTAGTTCATGAGACAAGACAAATGCATCACAAAAATAAATAATGCAAGGAGGCCAAGTGATAATGAGAGGTGCTGATAAGTGCTAGGAATTCACATGACAGATTATTCCCATCACAGTTCCAGAGGCTTAAGGGAGAAGAGAGGAACTGAAAATAGACTACCTAGAACTGCCCTATCCATTGGGGTAGCCACCAGTTAAATACGTCTCTTGACATTTGAAATGTGGCTTGTCCAAACTGAGACATGCAATGAGTCCAAAATGTACACCAGATTTCAAAGACTTAGAAAACAAATGTAAAATATTGTAATTCTTATGTCGATTACATGTTGAAATAATATATAATGGATCAAATAAAATATGTTAAAATTAATTTCAACTTTATTTTTACTTTTTATGTGACTTCTAGAAAATTTTTAATTACATAGGTGGCTTGCATCATATTTGTATTACATAGTCCTGGCCTGGAAGGAAATTCAGTTAGCCCTCTGTATCCATGGCTTCTGTATATGTGTCAACCAACTTTGGAACAAAAACAATTGAAAAAAAAAAAAAAAAAGAATGGTAATGTCTGCATTGAACACGCACAGACTCTTTTTTTCTTGTCATTATTTCCTTAACAATATGGATGTAACAACTGTTTACATAGCATTTCCCATTGTATTAGGTATTATAAGTAACCTAGAGATGGTTTAAGGTATATGGGACAATGTGCATAGTTTGTATGCAAATACTATACCATTGTGTGTAAGGACTTGAGCATCCTGGGGTTTTGGTATGTGGGAGTGTCCTGGAACCAATCCCCTGTGGACACTGAGGGATGGTCTTACTTCATTGAACTCTAAGAGCTATCTTTGTCCTCTTTATAGTCCCCAGGGTTTCCCCATTTTTTTTTTCAAGAGATGGGGTCTTGCTGTATTGCGCAAGCAGAAGTGCACTGGGTATTCACAAGCATGATCATTGTGCACAACAGCCGTGAACTCCTGGGCTCAATGATTCTTCTGCTTCATCCTCTCAAGTAGCTAGGACTACAGGTACCTGCCATCAAGCCCAGCTTCCCCAAATGTTAGTGGAAAGACAACCTAATGAAAATGGCCCTGATGACAAAGAGAAAGACCGTCCAGAAAGTATGCCATGAGCAAAGACAAGAAACAAGACTATAACTGCATTCTAGATAATGAAAACCTATTTATCTGTAATGGAACATTGTTAATAGAAGGTAGTGACAAAGTTAAAATGTAAACAAACTAGTCTATAAGGAGACTCAATTTTAAATTTAAAGAATTGAGTATAATAGGCAGTCAGTGTTTGGCAGTCACAAAATGGGATTGGGAGATTACTTTGGCAATATTGGGTAGGGTGGGTTGAAATTAGTGCATGGCTGGGAAACCAATTAAAACTCATTGCAGTGGGCTAGGCGCAGTGGCTCACCCCTGTAATCCCAGTACTTTGGGAAGCTGAGGCAGGAGGATCACTTAAAGCCAGAAGTTCAAAAGCAGCCTGGGCAACATAGGAAGACCCCCATCTCTACAAAAAATAGAAAAAAAATAGTCAGACTTGATGGTACATACCTGTAGTCCTAGTTACCAAGGAGACTGAATTTGGAGGCTCTCTTGAGGCCAGGAGTTTGAGGCTACAGTGAGCTATGATCATGCCATTCAGCTCCAGTCTGGGCAACAGAGCAAGACCCCATCTCTAATTGAAAAACAAAACAAAACTCCACATTGCATTTAAAAATATATCATATGGCTGGGTGTGGTGGCTCACAGCTGTAATCCCAGTACTTTGGGAGGCTGAAGCAGGTGAATTGCTTGAGCCCAGGAGTTTGAGACCAGCCTGTGCAACATGACAAAACCCTTTCTCTAAAAAAAAAAAAAAAAAAAAAAAAAATGAAAATTAGCTGGGTGTGGTGGCATGCACCTATAGTCCCAGCTGCTCAGGAGGCTAAGGCAGGAGGATCACTTAAGCTGGGAGGTCAAGGCTACAGTGAGCCATTATCGCACCCTTGCACTCTAGCCTGGGTAACAGTGAAACACTGTCTTAAAAAAAAAAAGTATCATACCAAAAAAAGGCTCAATATTGGATTTATTTAAATAAATTGTAATACATCTCTAAATATAGAGGCATTAAAAAAGTATAATGTGAATCTGTATTGCTTGATATGGTAATATGTCCAAAATGTACAGTTGTATGAAAGAGCTTGCAACACAATCTATACATAATATGAACACATTTAGGTAAAATTATATATGTTTGTGTGTGTCTTCTGTATGTGTGTAACATGATTATTTTGCAAAGAGTGCCTTAAATTATCTCAAAATTGTCTCAAGAACAGAAAATTTCAAGGTGGAAGTGTTTCCAACCTATTTCTTACAGCTCAACAAAATCATTCATGCTTTTGACTTTTTTCATTTCTATGTTTCATTATCCTTAGTATGTTAGCCTTTCATTATCAGATTTGCCACTTCATGGTTTGTAAGGATGGGTTGCCAAGTTTCAGAACCATTTCCAGCCCATCAGTCTCTGGATACCTCCTTCAGTATGTGTGTGCACTAGGTCTGCCTAGCTCACCAGTGTGCCATAGCCTCAGCTTCTAGGCCTTTCTTATTTTATCTATTGTCAGTCACTTCTTCCCTGCCCTTTTTCACCCCTGCCTTATCCTGCAACACCGAGTCTTAAAATTCCATCTTTACTGCACTCCAGTGCAGTTCCTGCTCTGAAGTTGATGCTTAACCTTTGAGGAATGCTGATTAATAAAAGACTCAATTCTAAAATGTTTTTCTACTCTTTTAAATAAATGATATTAGAAAAGAAAAAAGTTAGATTACTACCATGGCAGACAGTGTTGTTTGCCTCCTCAACCACCATTTCTTTCCTCTTTCTTAACTAGTAAGATGATTTTTTAAAAGTACCAAACAACTCAAAAAATGTGAGCTTCTCCCAAAGTAATTTCATTTCCCTTTGAATAAGAATGTTGTATAGGTGGGCATATGGGCCAAGGGACAATCAGCTTCGGAGAATCCTGCAATATGTTTTACCCAGGTTTCAAAATATGTGCTTACAATATATAAAGGGTTTTTCTTGAATTACTGTTCAATATGGTGAACTCGGCATATCATTTGCCTACTATCCTTTCCTACACACCATAGAAATAAAAATGAAGAAACAGAAAAAATGAAGAATAAGTGAAGGAGTAAAGATGATGTGTGCCTGTATGCATGCACTTACATGAGTAGAAAAAAGTAGATGATGTCAAGAGAAGCAAATGAAATTTCAAAAATGTGTTGGGATACAAAGCAAATAGTAGTGATTTGACCAAAACCATAGCCTAAAAAATATAGTGGAGAAGCTACACAGGATAGGGCAGAAGTGAGAATAAGGGCTGAAAATGGGGATAAAATATGGCACAATTGAATCTATCACCATACACATTTCGCTTTCTCAGACATATAGACTGAGAGCAAGCAAAAGATATTAATATCTGCCACCAGACAAAAAGACCAAAACTGACCCCCCAAATCTTCTCCAAATTAATTGAATAACTAGTACAGAAAAGTGAAGACTTTTAGGTTGATGACACAAAGGAAAAACATTCTTATTCAAGCATTCAGGGCCAGCATCCTGAGAATAAGCTAATTGCCTACTCATGTAAAGTGAAACTTCATATTTGGCATTCCTGGCCCTGTCCTACCTAACCCAGCCACGTATTCACAATTCCTACATAGGAGAGAGAGAGAACTGGCAGACTTCTTACCTACAAAAAGAAAACTGCATCAACTACCAATTTTATATACATATATATATATATATATATATATATATATATGAACAAACATGAAGAATTAACAGGCAAATAAGGAAAATCAGCATCATGAGAGAAAAATACAAAGAAAAACATAGAAAAACTAACTCTAAAGAAGGCAAGGAAGCATAAATAAAAGATTTTAAAGAAGCACCCGAATTAATATGGAATTCAGAACATATTATGTCTACAAGATATGAATAAGATACTTTGAAAAAGGAGCAATGATAGAACAAAAAGAGCTACCAGACATTAAAAATTTGTTAACTTAAAAACTCAAGAGAAGTACTGGAGATAAAATCGAAGAAATCTTATAAGAATATAGTATACATAGCAGAGAGAAAATAAGAAAGAAAACATAAGAATGTCGTGGAGAGCCAATCCAATAGGCTCAACCAGTAGATGAGAAAGATTTTTAAAAAAAAGGGGAGGGAGAGTGAGAAAATTATAAGTTTTTTTTTTTTAGAGCAGAGAAGAAAATAACTATTCAGATTTGAGTAGACTCAGGGTATTGAAAAATAGATTAAAAAACTCATGCCTGGAGATATTATCATGTAATGCCACAAATAAAAATTATGAAGAAGAAGAAATCCCCAAAGTTCCTAAACATAAAAGACTTATAATCAACAAAGGAATAGGGACTGATGCTATCAGCATCACTGCATACCTGAAGACATGACAGAATATTTTCAAAATTGTAGTTGTAGATGTTTTTCAGTCTACAAGTCTATACTCATTCAAATTATCAATTAACTATGAGAGTAAAATAAAGATATTTTCAGACTAACAAGGATGTAGAATATTTTTCTCCTGGGTGATCTTTTGGAATGTCACTAGGCCATACAATCCAACAAAATAAGGACAAAAAGTTATGCTGATGCTAGAGAAAGGTAAGGACAAATCTCTGCAGGATGGCTGTGCAGCAAGTCTAGAGAGCAAGCAGTATACATTGGAGAAGAGCATGGAGGATTCAAGAAGTGAGGTCACATAAGAGAAAAAAAAAGAAGGAATTCAATAGACTAGATGGTAAGATAGGAAATTTGAAAAACAAAAAAATGAAACTGTGATATATATATACGATGGAATACTACTCATCCATATAAAGGAATGAATTAATGACATTCACAGCAACCTGGATGAGATTGAAGACTATTATTCTAAGTGAAGTAACTCAGGAATGGAAAACCAAACATCTTACATTCTCAACTCATAAGTGGGAGGTAAGCTATTAGGATGTAAAGGCATAAGAATGACACAATGGACTTTGGGACTCAGGGAAAGGGTGGGAAGGGGGTGAGGAATAAAAGGCTACTAATTGCATGCGTGTGTACTGCTCAGGTGATGGGTGCACCAAAATCTCACAGATCACCAGTGAAGAACTTACTCATGTAACCAAACACTACCTGTGCCCCAATAACCTATGAAAAGAAAAAATTTCAAATAATAATAATCAATATTTAAAAAAAGTAAAACAAAAAATGAAGATATAGTAAACCAAATAGTGCCAGAATAAAAGGGAGGAAAGAGTAGTTCCTCAAAAGAAATTTTTAAAAAATATTACCATGGAAAGGGTAAAAAACAGTACATATGCAGGAAAATTAGTACCGAAAGGAAGAAAGAGAGCCAATGAAGGAGAAAAAAAGAGTGGTTAAAGAGTTATGAGATAAACGAAGAGTATATTTAAAAAGTTTTCTTCAATCACCAAGGTAATTCCTGCTTCAGAGTTAAGGAGGGTGAAGATTGAGTAAATGTCTTTGGAAATTTAAGTGATTGATGATTTGAAGCAATTTAGTAACATGGTAGGCATGGCATTAGATGTCAAGTGTAAGAGAGTAAATGAGAAGTGAGAAAGTGAAAACAGTGATGATAATTGTTTTTGTCTAATAAATGAATGAAAAATGCAGGGCAATATATGGAAGAAATATCAAGGTCCAGAAAAAAACTGTTACTTGCATGTTGTTTTTAGGATAGAAAAAAAAACATATAAATAGAAGGAAAGAACCTATAAGAAGTGAATCAAGTAAGGAAATAATAAGGTAAAGGCAGACAAGGATACACTGAAGTCTGTGGGTGAAGTTATTCTTAACCTTGGTAGAGAGAAGTTTTCCTGGGACACAGGAGGGAAGAAGTAGAGGATGTTTGAAAATACAGGGAACATTTAATGTGTTGAGGAATGTATAGCTATATAAATTTTGAAGTGAATATGCAATATGAAAGCCATGTTTCTTTTGGTGTCCTTGAAATTATGAATTGTTCATTGCAAAAATATTTTAAACTACTTCCAATCAGGTAGTGAGATATTAAATTTTTATAAAATACAAAAATCAGACAAAATCCAATTTCAAGAATGCAGTCATAGATTAGGTTGCAAAAAGCAACACCATTCTCAGTCAATATAAACATATGAAATGAAAACTACAAGTCACAGTTGTCACTGGTTAATTTAACCTGGTGTCCAATTGGTTTCCTAAATGCCAGGTGATACCCCATGATAAATGTGGGTATACCTATGAACATATGTTAGTGTGTGTGCATGAGACCTAGAGAAAAGAAAATTGGAAGTAATTAGCTTCAAAACTAATGATTTTTATCTAGCCTTTAATATCTGAAACTAGATTTGACTTTCTTATACAAGCAAATAATCCACCAAAGTTTGGGGCTGAAATATATTTATCCTTAAAGCATTGTGTGAAAAGGGAAGAATCATTCCTTGCCAACTGTTGTCTTTCTATCATTCCTCCAAGAGATAAGTTAGGATATGAGACCCCAAACCAACAACTTAATAGAGTTTTCTTCTCATATAATAGGCTAGTGATGGGTACTCCTGAAATTGTGTAGTTGCTTTCTCAATTTAGTCATCCCGGGACGAGAGTACCTTCTTTCTTGTCACTTTGCCATTTCTAGAGTGTTGTTTTCATCTAATAGTTCAAAATGGCTCACAGTCATGACCATATATATTTCAAGCAGCAGTCTAAAGGAAGAGGAGAAGAAAAGGACATATCTTTGGGAACATGAGTTGAAAGTACACCTATCGAGGAGGAGCCGTGCGCTGCTGGTGCTGCTGGTGCTGTTGCCGCCGCTGCTCTCGCTGCAGTCAGTCAGGCTGCGCCTGCTTCTTCAGGGCCCAGTCCCTTGGACACATCGCCGCTTCTAGACCCTCCTGCAGTCTCGGATATTGCTGGGAAAATGTCTGATGAATTTTCGTTGGCAGATGCACTACCTGAACACTCCCCTGCCAAAACCTCTGCTGTGAGCAATACAAAACCTGGCCAACCTCCTCAAAGCTGACCAGGCTCCAACCCTTGGAATAATCCGAGTACTCCACCTTCGGTGCCATCTGGACTCCCACCAAGTGCAACACCCTCCACTGTGCCTTTTGGACCAGTACCAACAGGAATGTATCTCTCCGTGCCTCCCACCGGACCACCTCCAGGACCCCCAGCACCCTTTACTCCTTCTGAACCATCATGCCCCCCACCTGGTGGTCCTTATCCAGCCTCAACTGTGCCAGGCCCTGGCCCATAGGGCCATATCCTATACCAAATATGCCCTTTCCAGAGCTACCCAGACCATATGGTGCTACCCACAGATCCAGCTGCAGCTGGTCCTTTAGGTCCATGGGGATCCATGTCTTCTGGACCTTGGGTGCCAGGAATGGGAGGGCAGTATCCTACCCCTAATATGCCCTATCCATCTCCAGGGCCATATCCTGTTCCTCCTCCTCCCCAAGCCTCTGGGGCAGCACCACCTGTTCCATGGGGCACCGTTCCACTAGGAGCCTGGGGACCACCAGCACCATATCCTGCCCCTACAGGATCGTATCCCACACCAGGACTCTATCCTACTCCTAGTAATCCTTTCTAAGTGCCTTCAGGACCTTCTGGTACTCCACTGATGCCTGGTGGCCCCCATTCTTACCATTAAGTTAACAATGGACGAAGAGATGACGCTTTGCTTTTTGAAGTACGTATATATGCACATGAATGCATATATAAAAAGTGCTGGTTTCACTATTAGAGGGCATTCATGAAAGAACAACTCTTGCACCTCTCAGAGAAGATAACTGCCTCTTGTACTTGGATGTGTAGTACATCATATGTATACAATCAGATAAAAGCATAGAAGTAAATCATTCAGATGTGATTTTTATTTGGTTTTCATGGAAAGTTAAAGTGATAAAGTATATTCACTAGCTCTTTGACAGAATTTGTTTAAACTATGAAACTACACACTTAAAAATCTAAGATGTGGATTATTGTTAGAATCTGTGACTTCATTGGCAAATTACTTCAAGTATTTTTCTATAATCACTTTCCCCTTCTAAATAAATAAACTTTGAGAATAACCCATCATAATCCAAACAAGTGATGCCTCAACATTTTGAGCTGCTCTGTCGGACAAATAAACCTGGTCCTCTTGAGGTTATATTGTGGATGTCATTTTTAAACTGTCAGTAATTATTGTCAGATGTGGAGTTCAATAGCCAGCCAGTGTTCATTTTTATCCTTGAGCTTTTAGTAAAAATTTCCTGGTTTTATTTTTAGTCATTGGGTCATACAGCCCTAAAGTCTGCTATTTATGGAAACTAACTTTTTTGTTTTTAATCCAGGCCAACATGTATGTAAATTAAATTTTTAGCTAATTGATTAAAAAAAAAAAGAAAGTATACCTATCACTTACAGTCATATTTTATTTACGAGACTTAAGTCACATGGTGACACCCAGTTGCAAGGAAAGCTAGAACATACAGTCCTCATTTTAAGCAACTATATACTTAGTTAAAAAGCATGGGTTCTATTACTGTAAGAGATAAAGAGATATTTAGAGATAAATGTTTCACCCATAAAGCTTTTCCTCAGTTAAAGCAAACATACTGGTATTAAGCAGATAAGGGTAGCCTCTCTTCAGTTCTTATCAGAACTGAACCTCAGGGAACAGAATGGAATGTAATGTCAATAATAACTTTTATCTCTTTCAAGCATATGAAAATTGAGCTAGTAGAAGATGGCAAAATAAAATGCTGGATATTAATTATTTTAAAAATTAATTTTTCCTGAAACTTAAACTATTCTTAAGTATTTTTATGATTAAGTGAAATTTTCATTCACTCTACCCACAACTAATTAAGCATATATCTCATAATCCACACTTTGCTAAGCATTGTGAAACATTCCAAAGAAAAATATGATATGATCTCTATTCTCAAGGAATTTACAAGAACTTACAGTTTGGGTAGGAGACAAATTTAACATTCACAAGACTTTTCAAAAACAATTAGGTGCTGAGTTGTGTGATACTTCTTTTATGAATACAAAAGGAGTCTAAATTAAAGATAGGCCCCTGTTGGCTGCAGGAGATTAAAAGCCTTTGTGGAAAACTGAAATTTGAATTGATCATATAAGTATAGGTAGAATTTATTTATAAAACCTTTCATATGTAAACTCTTAAAAGGTGTATTTGTAGGATTCATTCTAGAATATAAAGTTACTGAATTTTAAAATTCTTTTGTTGCTGGTGATAGTTTAAAGGATAAAAGTGGCTGATTCAGTGTATATGCCAGTTTTCTGTGTTTTTGCTTTAGGTTGTATCCACGAGTACCAGCAGAGTGCCTGACACATAGTAGACATAAGTAAGTATTTGTTAAATAATTTTCTTTTTATAATAGTGTTTCCTTTATTATTTGACCAAGAACTTTTAAAAATTGAGCTATAGCTTTTTTAAACATTGAAGTGTTCCAAAGTATAGAAACCTTAAGTGAACAGTGCTATACACCACTTCATGCAACTGATAGATGCAGGAGGACGATAAGGGAGGGTCCTGGGAGAAGCTCCCACTGGCCTGGGCATGGGGAGGATGGGGTGGAGCCTCAGGAAATTCACGCCATTTGCAGGGGGCAGGAGCCTGGGCTCATCAGTTCCTGTGTGGTGACCTGGGATTCAATCTGTGAGGCCTGTTAACAGGAACCCCTCTCGCTTTGCAAAGTATTTTTTTCCTTTTTGCCCAGTAAATTCCATTCCCCCTCACCCTGCAAAGTGTCTGCATGCCTAATTTTACCTGGTCACTTGGCAAGAACTTTTTTTTTTTCTCAACATTTTTGGCACCCAGAACTTGGGACATGAAGAAGGGTGAGTGAAATGTGGACTGAAAACCTCTCACTTTTATTTCTGAGTATTTTGTTCCTATGACATTTTTCTTCTTTTTTTGAGGACAGTAACAGCATCTATCTTTTCTCCTCCCCTCCCCTCCCCTCCCCTCCCCTCTCTTTTCTTTTCTTTTACAATATGGGAGGTGGTCCACACCCACCACAACAGCCACAAGCATGCCTGTGGGTTGGTTGGGCAAGCAGTGGCTCCCCACCCGCCTTCTCTCCCAGCTGAGTGGAGTGCATGGCCCTGACTGCCACATGTGTGTGCAGTGTCCAGCTGCATGGCAGGAATGAGCCACAGTCACTATCCAGGCACCAGGGCCGCCTTGGGGGCTTGGGCTCTGCACAGCTGGCTGGCCAGACTCCTGCTGGGTCCATGCCTGGGGGAAAGGAACCAATTTGCAAAAGAATATGAAGTTCTTCCCCCAGGCATCTTTCCAACCCTGCACTTTAACTTTTGTTTCCTTTTCGCTATCTAGTCAGCAGTTAATTTTTATGTGAGAGGGTTACTTTTTTTTTTTCTTTTTGGAAAACATTTTAACCAGGCCAGGACCCCAGTGATCACTGTTTATATTCTCTGTAAAGTTTCAGTTATGAAAAAGGATTTGTGAGATTGGTCTTAAGCGATAGCCAATCCGGTGTGCTTTGCATGACTTTCTGAATGATCAGCAACAAAGTTTGCTGTGGGCCTCCCTCTTGTTTTAGGTCCTTGAGAGCATGATGTGTAACCCTGTGGCAATGCTTTGTTTAGCGTCTACACAGCCAAGATTCAATCCTGGCTTAAGAAATGACTCCTGTTTGGTTTTTTGTTCTTGCAATAGTTTACTGAGAATGATGTTTTCCAATTTCATCCATGTCCCTACAAAGGACATGAACGCATCATTTTTTATGGCTGCATAGTATTCCATGGTGTATATGTGCCACATTTTCTTAATCCAGTCTATCATTGTTGGACATTTGGGTCGGTTCCAAGTCTTTGCTATTGTGAATAATGCCACAATAAACATATGTGTGCATGTTCTCACTCATAGGTGGGAATTGAACAATGAGATCACATGGACACAGGAAGGGGAATATTACACTCTGGGGACTGTTGTGGGGTGGGGGGAGGGGGGAGGGATAGCATTGGGAGATATACCTAATGCTAGATGACGAGTTAGTGGGTGCAGTGCACCAGCATGGCACATGTATACATATGTAACTAACCTGCACAATGTGCACATGTACCCTAAAACTTAAAGTATAATTAAAAAAAAAAAAAAGAGAAGAAATGTATAATACACCTAAAAAAAAAAAAAAAGAAATGACTCCTTTCTGCTTTGATATCTGTGCGACCTTTGCCATTTATTGATTCTCTTCCTCTACATGAACCACCTCGGATTTTCCTTTCCCTGAGCTTTCAGTAAAGTTTGAAAGCCAGAAATATTGGCCGCTTGGCACAGCTAAAGTCAGGTAATAAGGTGTTAAAAGGATTTTCTTAAAGAGCATTCAGCTTAATTGAAAGTGGATATCCAAATTATAGGTATATTTAAAAGATCTTAATGTTTTTCTCTTCTGGGATCTTGTTTGGCTGGAAAAAGTGTTTTTTTGTTTTGTTTTGTTTTGTTTTGTTTTGAGACGGAGTCTCACTCTGTTGCCCAGGCTGAAGTACAGTGGCACGATCTCGGCTCACTGTAATCTTTGCCTCCCAGGTTCAAGTAATTCTCCTGCCTCAGCCTCCCAAGTAGCTGGAATTGCAGGCACCTGCCACTGCACCCAGCTAATTTTTGTATTTTTAGTAGAGACGGGGTTTCACCATCTTGGCCAGGCTGGTGTTGAACTCCTGACCTTGTGATCCACCTGCCTCGGCCTCCCAGTGGAAAAAGTTTTGTTCTCAGTGAATGGAATTCTTTTTCTCCGTTTTGCCTTGCCACTTTCAATGCATGCATGAGAAGGGAGAGACCTCTGTTTTCCTAATGGAATTAAAAGTGGATAGATTCCTCTCAAAATCTGTTTTTGCCCCCAGTTATGCCTGTTTATTAGGCCTTAGAGGCTATGTGTTTTCCTGGCCCTGTCTCTTAAAGGGCTCCACCAGGAGGCCAGTAATCCAAGTAGGAGACTGGCAAGCAAAAGATCTTATGGCAACTGGGTTTTCTTATGCCTGTCTGTGTAGTTTTATGTATGTGTTGTGTTTGTGATGTCTATAAAAATAGCTTTAATTGGCCTAAAGGAAAATGAGTGCTTGCATCAAATATTTTTCAAAGGGAAGATAAAAGCTGTGATACTTTTTAATTCATGTGACTTTAATCTTTGAGAAGTAAAAAACAGCCTTAAAGATTATAGGGGCCAGGTGCGGTGGCTCATGCCTGTAATCCCAACATTTTGGGAGACCGAGACAGGTGGATCACTTGAGGTCAGGAGTTCAAGACCAGCATGACCAACATGGCAAAACCCCATCTCTACTAAAAAAAATATAAAATTAGCTGGGTGTGGTGGTGCATGCCTGTAATCCCAACTACTTGGGAGACTGGGGCAGGAGAATCACTTGAACCCAGGAGGAAGAGGTTGCAGTGAGCCGAGATCACACTATTGCACTCCAGACTGGGCAACAAGAGCTAAACTCCATCTAAAAAAAAAAAAAAAAGATTATTGGTAAAATCCCAGATATCATCAAAATGTAAGTAAGTGAACTAAATTATGCAGGTCTGATACTAGTTTGCTAAATGTTTTAAAGTTATACTGCTTTTTGGGTTGTGAGAACTCTTTGAATTGCCTGTTCCACAATTGGTAAGGCCCAGGGACATATAAAATTGACTATGCCCTTAAGTATGCTGGAAGGAATCAAACCTTGGCTGCACCTACTGCATAATTAAAGCTACTTGCTAGGTTTTATATTAAAGTTAAAAATTGCTGGGAGTTACCATTATAACATTATAACATTAAAACATAAACTACTAGAAATAGATTTACATGTTTGGTGTGTAAGAACAGTAACTTTTTTTAGTAAAAGATTATAAAAAGGCATGGAAGTGTAAATTCTTGCCTAGGGTTAAAGAATTGTTTTAAATTAGATAAGATAAAGCTAAAGTTCAAACAAGTGGTGGAAGGATTGTAAAAATTAATCTTGCAAAAATTGCATGGGTGAATATATTGACTAAATTCAAAAGGGTGTTACATGGTTTTTCTGTAAATTGAGCATTGAAATAAAAGCACAACAAGATACTCTTAAGGCACTAATCTGCTCTTTAGCAAAATTTATGAAGAGTTACAAAAGGTTTTTACTTTTTTACATTTCTGAGTCATTTTGGCAAAATAAATAACTTATGGTAATCTGGAGTTTCGTTTCATAACATCAAGTATTTTAAACCTCTTCATATTTAAAAGGCTTCCCAAAATCAAACTTCAGTTTTGAAATTGTCTTTGCTGATGCCTGGCTTTTAGATGCTACAGAGGGCCCCTGGAGTATTTAAAAGAGAGGTAAACAGGATTATTTGACATGTTTAGCTGCATGGGATTGCCAAAATGGTGTTCAATCTTCTTTAGGTTATATTTTGGTGGATAATACTAATATATGTTCCAAAATTGTATGACATTTCTAAAGTTCTAATGTCTAAAGTATATGCTATCAATCATAATTAAGGTACTTATGTTAAGTTATTGTAAAACACAGAGATAATGAAACTTCTATGGACATTTTGTTATTCACAGACAATTGTCTTGTTTCAATCCTTTTCAAAAGATGGTTTATAATAAGCTATAGTACTCTGACAGGTGCTCTCCAATACAGGTTTCTGATAACTTTGGAAATGTGACATTGGAATAAAGGAAAAATGCACAGGACTCATGAAGAGCCAAAATGTTCACTGATACCAAGCAACACAAGAGTTAACTAAATGGACTGAACTCATAGAAAACTGAATCAATCTTTTTGACTTTTGCATGGAATATTGCTGATCCTTGTTTTGTTTTTCAGAGTCCAGGAAATTTATTTTGAACTATTTACAGCCTTTAATAATTGAGAAAATTATACTCCTCTGAACAAAATCCGGAGCATGTTTGTCTCTCTTTCTGCTTGGCTTTTCCAGAATATGGAAACTAGTTATGAGTATTATTTTTTTTTTTTTTTGAGTCAGAGTCTCACTCTAAGGCTGGAGTGTAGTAATGCAATCTTGGCTCACTGCAACCTCCACTTCCCGGGTTCAAGCAATTCTCCTGCCTCAGCCTCCTGAGTAGTTGGGATTACAGATGCGCACCACCGTGCCTGGCTAATTTTTATATATTTAGTAGAGATTGGGTTTCACTGTGTTGGCCAGGCTGATCTTGAACTCTGGACCTCAGGTGATCCTCCCGCCTCGGCCTCCCAAAGTGCTGGGATTCCAGGCGTGAGCCACCGTGCCCGGCTGTTATGAGTATTCTTAACTCATGGCAATATAGTTGTTTACATCAGTGCAATAAGAATCTATTTTCTTTTGCAACAGGATGCAATTGGAGAAACTGGTTGTTTTAACAAGGCTTTGACTGGAAGGGTATATGCTTTCCTTTAAGGAGTCAAGTTCAACTTGCAGAGCTGATAAAAGCCCCTTGGGAAAACTGGCCTCATACCCTTGTCTATGCAGTCCTTTTAGGTTTTCTGACATGTGGTAAGTAAAGAATGTCACTTCCTGACAGGCCCAGGAGCTCCAAGTTTATCTTGGGACCTTAAGAGGAGAGGATTACCCAACTCACAGGTATTTGAGGGTACAAACCCATGGCTGGGCTCGGCTTTAAAAGGTCTTATCTGAGATTCCTTGTGGAACAGAGTTCCATCAAAGCCAATCTAAAAGCCCTGTTTCTAAAAGAAATAATTATTCTTGCTGCATTTTATGCAAATAATCAGGCCAAGTATAAGACTAAAGTCTATTTTGCAAACTCGATCCCATCATGATTTGTTTTTTTTACAAAACTGAGGATCCTCATGTTTCAAAACTTATCATACATTTGCCATTAGATTCTACACTCATTAGCTGTTTTTAAGACTTTGCCTACATTTTAGACTAACCCTTCTTGTTCCTGTGAACCGATCAGCAATCTCCAGCTGCAGCTCAGAAGGAACAAGAGGGATGGGTAATGTAAAAATCTAGATCAATATTCTAGTTCTGAATAATTATCCTGCAAATCCTTCCAGGTCATGGAAATAAATAGGATGTCTATTACTTGCAGGTTTCCTTTTTGGGAAAGTAAGACCAAGGGAGCTAACCAGAGCCGAGCACCATGCACCCAAATCTTAGCAAGCATAACTATAGCGACAAGTTATCTGGGCATATCACAAGACATCCTTTTCCTTCCCTTGTTGGAGGAGTACTCCATTCCACAGCTATACCCTAGCATTTGGCAGCTCATGATAAGGAGTCCATGCAACTCCCCCTGAGACACATTTTGTCCCAAACTCAATTCCAAGCTTTGGTTCAAAGCCCTAGAAAGAAAAAATGGATCTGAGGTATCCAGAGGCAAATGATAACAGAAGTTAAAGGGCGGCCGGGCATGGTGGCTCACGCCTGTAATCCCAGCACTTTGGGAGGCCGAGGAGGGCGGACCACGAGGTCAGGAGATCAAGACCATCCTGGCTAACATGGTGAAATCCTGTCTCTACTAAAAATACAAAAAATTAGCCAGGTGTGGTGGTGGGCACCTGTAGTCCCAGCTACTCGGGAGGCTGAGGCAGGAGAATGGCGTGAAACCAGGAGGCGGAGCTTGCAGTGAGCCGAGATTGCGCCACTGCACTCCAGCCTGGGTGACAGAGTGAGACTCTGTCTCAAAAAAAAAAAAAAAAAAAAAAGTTAAAAGGCATAGTGCAGGTGAGCATGACTAATTCCTGCCAATTAGGCCAAGCTTTCTATTTCATGGATAAAGGTCATTCTAGTATCCATGGCATAAATGAGGTCTAGGGAATTCAAAGGCTACTGACAGCAGGGGAGATAGGGCGTAAGTGGGTAAGAGCAAATACTCCCATTCCCTGCCCCCCCACCCTGTTAACATGGGTGAAAGTCACTTTGACAACCATGGGTGGCACCCTGTTGCAGTTGCCAGGACTCAGGGATACAGTAACAGAGGAAAGAAAGAGCAATGCCTTGCTTCCTCTCTCTCATGTATCCCAGTTATTTGCTAGGAAGAGATGGGAACCAGGGATGCCTGCTCCCCTCTTTCTAGATCATTAGGCATTCATCTTCAGTCTGTACCCCTTTCGAATGCATCCTGAACCCCTGGGGCTCCTTTGAAACAGGAGTCTTTTTTCTTTTTTCCTCCTCTGTCCTCTCTTAGATAGGTAATTGTGTCTTTGTACTACAGGACACTCTCCTCAAATGCATACTCCAATCTTGCCAGAGTTAATTTCCCAAACCTTAGACTGGTTGGCTTAGGATTGGGCTCGGGGGAAGGGAACCCAGAAGCCTGACATGCTGGCAAAAGTAAACAGCTGGGTTTTTGGCCTCCCTCTCCCTGTGCAAATTGGTAAAGGGCCTTGGGATTTTTGAGCTGTCCTTACTCCACCCTTGTTTCATTTCGATACATGTTTTCTAATAACTGAATTGTCTCTTCTCCCTTTCAGGCCATCAGATTCTAAACAGTCATGCATCCGGGGCCTCGGACAATGGCCCTTTTTGCTAGGGACCCTTAGATAGTCCTCTGAGGGAGCTCTAACTGCTGTTTTCTCCAAACAGCACTCCTTGTCAACAGGAAGCAGTTAAGATCGGTCTTTGTCCTTATCTTTATCCTAACAGCACTTAGATGTACTTCTTTAGTGGGAGGAATGATAGACATAGGAGGAAGATAAGGGGGAGGGTCCCCAGAGAATCTCTGACCAGCCTGCGCACTGGGGGGGTTGGAGTGGAGCCTTGTGAAGTTCACGCCATTTGCAGTGGGGAGGAGCCTGGGTTCTTCAGTTCCTATGTGGTGACCTGGGATTCAGTCTGTGAGATGGTGGTGTGTTAACAGGAACCCCTCTGGCTTTGCTGAGAGGTTTTTTTCCTTTTTGCCTAGTAAATTCTATTTCTCCTCACTCTTCAAACTGTTTGTGTGCCTAACTTCTCCTGTTCATGTGACAGGAACCCATTTTTTTCTACAACATAACCACCACCCAAATCAGGATTTATAACATTTCCAACACTCCATACAACTCCCTTATGATTCCTCCTAGTCAGCACCTAAATCCCTACCCCACCTCACCCACCCCAAATTAGCCACTATTCTGATCTCTATAAACATAGACTAGTATTCCTGATTTTGAACTTCTTATGAAGGAAATCATATGTCACTCACTATTTTTCAATTTGTTGCCATCCTGGCTTTAATTTGTGAGGCTTTTTGATACTTGAAAGAGGTATTTCCCACCCTCTATTTTAAGACTTTTCTTATGGGAGAACCTAATAACAGTGTGGAAAATGTTTTTTATTATACAGTTTTATACATTAAAGATGTCATTGATCTTTAGACTTCAAAGACAGGTTGTGCTTACCTTAAGGATAAGCCAAAATCAGCATAACTTTTATCCTGCACCATTGTAATACAGCTTGGTACTTTTAAAATGACAGCCAAGTTAATTTGCTGTGATTTTTTTTTATTAAAACAAACCTGGAAATCCCCTGAGAAGTTTGGGCCAATTACAAACTTAGAGGCACAGTACCCACCCTAATTTCTGAAGCCAACTGGAGGTTTAAAGAGTCCCCCAAACCAGATCAGTTTTGATAATTTGCTAGAAAGACTCAAAGAACTCACTGAAAGCTGTTATACTCATGGTTATGGTTTATTAAATGGAGAGGGTACAGATTAAGATCAGCCAAAGAAAGACACACATAGAACGTTGTCCAGGAGAGTTTTAAATATGAAATTTCACTTGACTTCTAGCCATGAAATCAGGATATCACTGTTCTGTCATCTACGTGTGACAGTATGCATATAGTATTGCAAATCAGGGAAGTTTACCTGAGTATTGTGAGTGGTTTTTTGGGGGGAGCTTCATCATATAGGCATAATTGATTGATTGTTGCCCATTTGGTTAATCTTAGAATCCAGGACCATTGATACTGTGACACTGTGTGACCCAAAGCTCCTCACTTAAGTTATGTTGTTGGTATTTTTGGTTGTCTAGCCCCAAACATAAAACTGTATATGTGTGGCTAGTCCCCACCCTAAATCACATTGCTAGATACCTACTTTGACCCAAGTCCCCCAGACAAACAGACAATCCTATAAGGCTAGGCCTTCTCTTTGAGCAAGCCCAAATTCTTTACTTACTACATGCCTTCTGAATCTTCACTTCCCTATGTGGAGAATTTGTTGCTTTTAAACCCTAAAATTAAATTCCTTTTACAAAATTTGTCTCCTCTATGATTAATTCCATGAATTTTTATTTTGAAAAACTCTGAATGATCGTGAAGCATCTCAACATATTTGACAAGAGAATTAATATCAAAGTAGGAGTACTAACATTTTCTTCCCCCACCAATTATATAATACATATAAGTATGAGAATTCTACCAAGATTACTAAACTTGAGCATTCCTTTTAAAGTTGGGCAATAGTTACAAAATAAAATTGAGAGTTTCCCAGTAGACTGTAATGCCAGAACTGTCATGAATGGAAAACAAGGCTAAGTAGCAGCATTTCAGTGATTTTCAGGGTTGGGGTTCGGGCAAGTATACAACTCTCCCCCAAGAAAGAGTGAAACTCCTAAGGAGCTCTATAAGAAACAGTAAATTCCTCAAAAATTGTATCTAAATTTTGAAGAAAAATTTTTTTTACATAAATATGTTGAAGAGTCATCACTATGGAACTATTATAGTAAAAGTGAAATTAAAATATTTAAAAGTTAAGGGGCTACTTAGTATTATTCATGTCAAGTTTCTGTTTAAAATAATTTTCAATAACTATTTTGATAGATTTAGCACCCTTCCAAGTTTAGATATGAGTTGCCAAGTTTTTTTTTCTTCTTGTTAAGATATTTAACAAGTTCTGTGTTTCTACAGAACTTAAATGGATGAAACAGGCTGGAGACTGAAATGCCACCTTAGCAGCTCAAGCAGGACTGGGGAAATTGAAGTCAATCAAATCACAGGCCAGGCAGGCAGCTTTTACAGAATTATGGGTCAGGAAGGGCAAGGTTCAAGTCAGGCATGAGATTCGGATTTCATAGGCTCAAGAGGCTGAAACTAAAATATTTATTTAGCTAGTTCTCTTGGTTAATTTGAAGTTTCATCCATTCATTCAATTGATATATATTGAGCAACTACTATGAGTTGGCAAAGTAACAAGACAAGAAAACGATGTTGCACCTTTTACAGATGATAGCTGACTTGCTGAACACTTAACTTGCTGTTTGCCAGGCATTGTGCTATGCTCTTCTTTCTGATAGTTAAGTTTATTAATTATTACCTAGGTTAAACAAATAAGGAAATCGAGTCTCTGACACATTTACCATTTAGCTGAAAGAAAACATCTCAGAGCCGCTTGGCCTATGCTCTAAAGTGGAAACTTCTTCCCGTCAAAGGCCCTTGCCAGTTGTGGTGGTCACAGTTTCTCAGTGTTAGAAAAAGTATCCTTATCTTCTCTATCACTTTCAGCTTCTGTGCTGGATACAGGAACCACATCTTTTGGCAAACTATGAAATTTCATAAAGAAGGGCAACCCTCAGGACTGATGATGAACCAATTATGGGTTACTTTATTTTCTTCTTTATTAAAAAGGTTTTGTTTTTTCCACCCAGGATATCAGTATTTTCTAGAAAAGGAGATGCTCTGTTTGGTTACAGCTCTATCACTTGTTGTTTATTTTGCCATTATGCAGAAGAAAGAAAAATAGGGGTAATTTTAGCAAATCAGTATTTAAACTATATATTCAAGGTTGCATTAAAATAAGGTCTTCCCTAATAATATGATATTGGTTTCACTAATATCTCATTTTAAAATTTAAAATCTTGGTACAATTAATTAATGAACAAAGTGAAAAATTGTCCTTGCCTGAACATAAAGTCTCAGATTTAAATACTCTGCACAGCCTTGGCTATTTAATCACTAAAGTGAATTTTTACAAATAATTGCTGACATATATATGCTCTTTGGGAGAATGTCTCCTTTTTTTTTTTAACTTTCACAAAGACACAGCAAGGACTTATAAATACATATATAAGCACAACAAGATTAAGTGGCAATTTTATTATGTATGTAGCACTAATTATTGTTTTTTCTTTTATGAAAGCAGAAAGAATGTAATATCCTCTTGCAGTTTGAGACTCTGAAAGTGGACAACTATATTCTAGGAATAGCAAGTTTGTGTGTTGAGACAACCTTCCACCTGATATGAATAGAGGTTACCAATACCCACAGCTGACATCAGTCTCAGAATTTTGTCTTTTCCTGTTTAGCTATCTTCTGACCTGATGGAACCAACTCAACTTGCCAGATGTCAGAAGTTTAAAAAATAACATTTTAAAAAGCAATATTTACTAAAAGTGTAAATGTTGTTTTTATGTTGAGTAAGCATAGCTTTTGACATATCCAAAATTAAACTTTATTTTTTTTCTCTTACAGTTTCTTTAAATTCTACTTGGTGCTGGAGGTGGGTGGAGTTGATTGGTGGGGATTTCCTGTACTTAGATGAAAACTCTGGTGGGATCTACGGCTTTGTTGTTGTTTGCTTTTAAGTAATATAACATTTCGTAATCGTTGTAGGTCACAAACACTTTTCCAATTAGACTCTTGCAACTAGACTATAGTACTATGTAATAATAAAAATTCAGAATTGAATTTAGTATTAATTCTTTTCCTTTTCCCCCAGCATAAGGCTACTTGAGGCTGAGAGCCTGAACTGAGGAAGTAGAGTGGACCTTCTTCTCTCTCCTTTCTCCATATCATGACATCCTCCCACCCCACTTATCTCTCATTTCCAAGGCTACACATGTCCCTTAATAGTTGGGGGATTGAGAAAAGATCAGGAAATTAGGAGATATAGCAAGCTTCTCTATATTTATTTATTTCTTTATTTATTTAAGACAGAGTCTCGCTCTGTCACCCAGGCTGGAGTGCACTGGTGTGATCTTGGCTCACTACAGCCTCTGCCACCTGGGCTCAAGCAATTCTCATGCCTCAGCCTCCCTAGTAGCTGAGATTACAGGCTTGCATCACCATGCCTGTCTAATTTTTGTGTTTTTAGTAGAGAAGGGGTTTCGCCATGTTGGCCAAACTAGTCTCAATCTCCTGGCCTCAAGTGATCTGCCTGCCTCTGCCTCCCACAAGTGCTGGGATTACAGGTGTGAGCCACTGTGTCCAGACAGATATAGGAAATTTCGTGCTTGATTGCAAAGCCCAGAGGTTTCCCTCTCTGGATCTAAAGGCAAGGATTCCTGGCAAGTTCCAGTAAAGGATTAAAACAAACTTTTTCTTGGGAAACACTTTTGAGGACTCCTTGAAGTTTCTCAACTACACCCTCCCAACTCCTGCATTTCTCTGGCCGATGCATCTTTCCTTCCTCCACTTCTGGGAAATCTGCTGTGCACCTACACTTTCTTTATTGAGGGGAATTCCTTACTCCTCCAGCTGGTTTTATTGGAGAGAACCTGTGATGGTTAATTTCACGTGTCGACTTGCCTAAGGCATGCCAAGATAGCTGGTAAAACATTATTTCTGGGTGTGTCTTTGGGGGTACCTCCAAAAGAGATTAGTATTTTTATTAGTAGACTGAGTAAAGAAGATCCACCCTTGACAATATGGGCAGGCATATCCAGTGTTTAGACCTTCCTGATAGAACAAAAAGTCGTAAGCAGAGCAAATTTGCTCTCTTCTGGAGCTGGGACACCAATCCTGTTCTCCTGTTGCACATCAGTGCTCCTGGTTTTTGGGCCTTGGACTCTGGGACTTACACCAGCACCCCACTCCCACCCCCACTTCTCCCAGTTTTTGGCCTCAGAGTGGGAGTTACACTATCGGCTTCCCTGGTCCTCAGGCCTTTGGACCCAGACTGAATCACACTACTGGCTTTTCTGGTTCTCCAGCTAGCAAACAGCATATTTTCGGACTTCACAGTATCCATAATCACATGAGCTAATACCCGTAATAAATCCCCTCATCTATATTTATGTCTATATCACCCATAGCTGTCTGTCTGTCTATCTATCTATCTATCTATCTATCTAATCTACCAATCATCTATCTATATTGACTCTGTTTCTCTGGAGATCTGAGAAACTTCACTAATATAGAACCCAGAATGACCCACACTAGGGATTTTATATTCAGAACAACTTGAATCTATACTCCTGGGAAATAATTTTAAAATATAAACAAAATTTAAACCAAAATAGAATGATCTACTCTAACTCTCCTTTTGGTGGCTTACATTCCTTGCCCTGATAAGCTTTAAGAATGAAGGCCAGTCTTAAAGCAACAGTACCCTCCTGGCTCTACCACCAAGCAGACAGTCATCCTTTTAGCCTCTAAATTACCTGAGGTGAAGTTAGACCCCAATCTGCCATCCACTTTAGCTTTTTCTAGTGTCAGTGCAGCACTACTTCTTTGGGTTTTCTTTTTTTTTTTTTTTTTTTTAATTAACTTTTTTTTTTTGTAGAGACAGGGACTCATTATATCTGGTCTCCAACTCCTCACCTCAAGCAATCCTCCCATGTCAGTCTCCCAAAGTGCTGGGATTACAGGCGTGAGCTACCACATCCGGCCTTGGGTTTTCTAACCGCATAAAACGCATTTCAAAGCTTTTCTATAGTCCCCTTGTGATACCCCTTGCTTCCCTTGAGGTTAGAAGGTAATACTCATGTATGCCTATTCCCTAGAGGGGGTGGGTACTCATAACACTGTAACAGCTCTCCCAAGAAGTTTCTCCTCTACTTCTCTGACACTTTTTAAAAAATATCTTTGATTTCTGGTTGAAGGCTCAAAGAATCATGTAACAGTTTCTTGGATCCATTTCTTTAGTAAACCTGTATATGTAGGGAAGAATATATCTCATACTCAGGTGTCTTATCATCTATTGGTGCCTCAATAGAAACTAGGACAAACAGAAAGAAGTCTGTTCTAAGATCCTTTTAGAAATATAGGCACGAATAAGCAGACACATTATAGAACCTAGGTGAAAGCAGCGTTACTATATATCACACCAGGGTTTAAATATTTCTTAAATTTATGTCATTTCCGCCGTCTATATTTACCCATATCTTTGTTCAAAAGTTTATAATCTGTAACAAGTACTGTTGAAGTCACTTGTCTCTGATTTGGGTTTTATCCCAGTTAAATCTGTTCTTCAAAATACCTTTGGATTGGTTGATCTGAAATGCAAATATTATCTTGTCAGTTCTCTGCTTTAAATCTTTCAAGATTTCTTAATAGCCTTACCTCTTACTTTGAGAAGAGGCATGCTTCTCAAACTTTAGAGTGTATAAAATGATTCGGGAATCTTGTTAAAATGCAGATTCTATTAGAATAACGTTTGGAGTGTGGCTCCTAACTTTGCATTTAAAAAAAAAAAAACTCTGAGGTGATACTGATGCCAAAAACATAGAGAAGTTTTGACTCCTTAGCTGTGCTATATGAAGACCTAGTCTATGTCTCTGATTTCATCTCTTATCCATGGCCACAATTCATGCTTTCTTAGCATTATGTTACCTTTAAAAATCATGCTGTTTCATGTCTTGTGATGGTTTCTTTTTTCCTTTTCTTTCTTTTTTTTTTTAATTGATGACTTACATGTAGTAGTAACTGGCTGAGATCTTTTTTTCCCTTCAAGGTTTCTTCAGCTCAGAAGGCAGTACCTGTATTCACAAGCTGAGCTGACTGTTTTATATTTGTTTCTTTTAGCATCAGTAGCAAATTACAACAAACTGGATGACTTAAAAGAACAGAAATGTATTCTCTCCCATCTCTGAAGGCCAGAAGCATGAAATCGAAGTATTAGGAGGGCAATGCTCCCTCTAATGGTTTTAAGGGAAAATCTGTTCCTTGCCTCTTCCATCTTCTGCTGCCTCCAGTAGTTCCTTGTCTTGTGGCCAAATCACTGCAATCTCTGCCTCCATGGTCATGTGGCTGTCTCATATGTCTTAAACCTCTCTGCCTAATATTCATTTTTTGGAAAAGCATATCATTGCATAAGGGCTCACCTAGATAATCCAGAATAAATTCCTCCTTGCAAGACCCTTTACTTAATCACATCTTTCACCATATAAAGCAATATTCACAGATATGGGGATAAGGATGTGTCCTTTCTGCAGGCCCCCGTTCAGCCAACTACATGCCTCTTTTAGAGTGCATGGCATCAGTAGAATAATAGCTCCTATGTATTGGGGACTTATTATGTGCCAGCCTCTAATAGCCTTTTACTTATGTAATAAAAATGTGACTAAACCCTTTGAGCAGCCCTTTCTCTTGCACCCAGTCCACTCTGAGAACAGACTCAGAACTTCTGACATTCTCTGCAAAAGCAAGTCCAACTTCAAAAGCATTGGTCAGTAATGTAAATGTTGTGGAATTTTCTTGGGGAAACTTGTACACACAAAGCAAACTATAAGTAATCTTCTTTATCAGATGTCTCTGTAAATCCCTTTAAAAATATTTTGTGGAAGACAGTGTGGCGATTCCTCAAGGATCTAAAACCAGAAATACCATTTGACCCAGCAATCCTATTACTGGGTATATACCCAAAGGTGTTTAAATCATTCTACCATAAAGACACATGCACACCTATGTTTATTGCGTCACTGTTCACAGTAGCAAAGACTTGGAACCAACTGACATGTCCATCAGTGATAGACTGGATAAAGAAAATGTGGCACGTATACACCATGGAATACTGTGCAGCCACAAAAAAATGAGTTAATGTCCTTTGCAGGGATATGGATGAAGCTGGAAATCATTATTCTCAGCAAACTAACACAAAATCAGAAAACCAAACACCACATGTTCTCACTCATAAGTGGGAGTTGACAATGAGAACACATGGACACAGGGAGGGGAACATCACACACTGGGGCCTATCGGCGGGTAGGGGGTTGGGGGAGGGATAGCATTAGGAGAATTACCTAATGTAGATGACGGGTTGATGGGTGCAGCACACCAACGTGGCACATGTATACCTATGTAACAAACCTACTCATTTTGCACATGTACCCCAGAACTTAAAGCATAATAAATTAAAATTTTTCTTCAGCCAGATGTAGTGGTGTGAGCCTGTAGTCCCAGCTACTCAAAGAACTGAGGAGGGAGGATCAGTTGCAACCAGGAGTTCAAAGCCAGCGTGGGCAACATAGTGAGGCCCCATTTCTAATTTTAAAAATCTCTTTATTCATCCCTACAGGATCTCAAATCCCATTTTGTATTGAGGTATTTTGCTACAGTACAACAGTAAAACAAAATTAATAAGACAGTAAGCTTTAGTTCATTATTTTACACTTGCTAGCTCATGTATTTTAAACATCACAATTTTAGGAGGTAGCATTTTATAGAGATAGAAATAAACTAAATAACTTATCCAGTGTTACACAAGTAGTAAGTAGTAGTGCTAGATTCAAACCAAGATCTTCTAGTGCCTAAGTCTATGATTTTAAACATTTTTTTATTTTTTATTTTTATTATACTTTAAGTTTTAGGGTACATGTGCACAACGTGCAGGTTAGTTGCATATGTAAACATGTGCCATGTTGGTGTGCTGCACCCATTAACCTGTCATTTACATTAGGTATATCTCCTAATGCTATCCCTCCCTGCTCCTCCCACCCCACAACAAGCCCCGATGTGTGATGTTCCCCTTCCAGTGTCCACGTGTTCTCATTGTTCAATTCCCACCTATGAGTGAGAACATGCGGTGTTTGGTTTTTTGTCCTTGCAATAGTTTGCTGAGAATGATGGTTTCCAGCTTCATCCATGTCCCTATAAAGGACATGAACTCATCATTTTTTATGGCTGCATAGTATTCCACGGTGTATATGTGACACATTTTCTTAATCCAGTCTATCTTTGTTTTATATTTGGGTTGGTTCCAAGTCTTTGCTATTGTGAATAGTGCTGCAATAAACATGCATGTGCATGTGTCTTTATAGCAGCATGTTTTATAATCCTTTGGGTATATACCCAGTAATGGGATGGCTGGGTCAAATGGTATTTCTAGTTCTAGATCCCTGAGGAATCACCACACTGACTTCCACAATGGTTGAACTAGTTTACAGTCCCACCAACAGTGTAAAAGTGTTCCTATTTCTCCACATCCTCTCCAGCACCTGTTGTTTCCTGACTTTTTAATGATCGCTATTCTAACTGGTGTGAGATGGTATCTCATTGTGGTTTTGATTTGCATTTCTCTGATGGCCAGTGATGATGAGCATTTTTTCTTGTGTCTTTTGGCACATAAATGTCTTCTTTTGAGAAGTGTTTGTTCATATCCTTCACCCACTTGTTGATGAGTTTGTTTTTTTCTTGTAAATTTGTTTGAGTTCATTGTAGATTCTGGATATTAGCCCTTTGTCAGATGAGTAGGTTGCAAAAATTTTCTCCCATTTTGTAGGTTGCCTGTTCACTCTGATGGTAGTTTCTTTTGCTGTGCAGAAGCTCTTTAGTTTAATTAGATCCCATTTGTCAATTTTGGCTTCTGTTGCCATTGCTTTTGGTGTTTTAGACATGAAGTCCTTGCCCATGCCTATGTCCTGAATGGTAATACCTAGGTTTTCTTCTAGGGTTTTTATGGTTTTTGGTCTAACGTTTAAGTCTTTAATCCATCTTGAATTGATTTTTGTATAAGGTGTAAGGAAGGGATCCAGTTTCAGCTTTCTACATATGGCTAGCCAGTTTTCCCAGCACTATCTATTAAATAGGGAATCCTTTTCCCATTGCTTGTTTTTGTCAGGTTTGTCAAAGATCAGATGGTTGTAGTTATGCGGCATTATTTCTGAGGGCTCTGTTCTGTTCCATTGGTCTATATCTCTGTTTTGGTACCACTGCCATGCTGTTTTGGATAATGTAGCCTTGTAGTATAGTTTGAAGTCAGGTAGCATGATGCCTCCAGCTTTGTTCTTTTGGCTTAGGATTGACTTGGCAATGTGGGCTCTCTTTTGGTTCCATATGAACTTTAAAGTAGTTTTTTCCAATTCTGTGAAGAAAGTCATTGGTAGCTTGATGGGGATGGCATTGAATCCATACATTACCTTGGGCAGTATGGCCATTTTCACAATATTGATTCTTCCTATCCATGAGCATGGAATGTTCTTCCATTTGTTTGTGTCCTCTTTAATTTCGTTGAGCAGTGGTTTGTAATTCTCCTTGAAGAGGTCCTTCACATTCCTTGTAAGTTGGATTCCTAGGTATTTTATTCTCTTTGAAGCAATTGTGAATGGGAGTTCACTCATGATTTGGCTCTCTGTTTGTCTGTTATTGGTGTATAAGAATGCTTGTGATTTTTGCACATTGATTTTGTATCCTGAAACTTTGCTGAAGTTGCTTATCAGCTTAAGGAGATTTTGGGCTGAGACAATGGGTTTTTCTAGATATATATCATGTCATCTGCAAACAGGGACAATTTGACTTCCTCTTTTCCTAATTGAGCACCCTTTATTTCCTTCTCCTGCCTGATTGCCCTGGCCAGAACTTCCAACACTATGTTGAATAGGAGTGGTGAGGGAGGGCATCCCTGTCTTGTGCCAGTTTTCAAAGGGAATGCTTCCAATTTTTGCCCATTCAGTATGATATTGGCTGTGGGTTTGTCATAGATAGCTCTTATTATTTTGAGATACATCCCATCAATACCTAATTTATAGAGAGTGTTTAGCATGAAGTGTTGTTGAATTTTGTCAAAGGCCTTTTCTCCATCTATTGAGATAATCGTGTGGTTTTTGTCATTGGTTCTGTTTATATGCTGGATTATGTTTCTTGATTCGCATATGTTGAACCAGCCTTGCATCCCAGGGATGAAGCCCACTTGATCATGGTGGATAAGCTTTTTGATGTGCTGCTGGATTCAGTTTGCCAGTATTTTATTGAGGATTTTTGCATCGATGTTCATCAGGGATATTGGTCTAAAATTCTCTTTTTTTGTTTTGTCTCTGCCAGGCTTTGGTATCAGGATGATGCTGGCCTCATAAAATGAGTTAGAGAGGATTCCCTCTTTTTCTATTGATTGGAATAGTTTCAGAAGGAATGGTACCAGTTCCTCCTTGTACCTCTGGTAGAATTCAGCTGTGAATCCATCTGGTCCAGGACTTTGTTTGGTTGGTAAGCTATTAATTATTGCCTCAATTTCAGAACCTGTCATTGGTCTATTCAGAGATTCAACTTCTTCCTGGTTTAGTCTTGGGAGGGTGTATGTGTCGAGGAATGTATCCATTTCTTCTAGATTTTCTAGTTTATTTGTGTAGAGGTGTTTATAGTATTCTCTGATGGTAGTTTGTATCTCTGTGGGATCAGTGGTGATATCCCCTTTATCATTTTTTATTGCATCTATTTGATTCTTCTCTCTTTTCTTCTTTATTAGTCTTGCTAGCGGTCTATCAATTTTGTTGATCTTTTCAAAAAACCAGGACCTGGATTCATTGATTTTTTGAAGGGTTTTTTGTGTCTCTATTTCCTTCAGTTCTGCTCTAATCTTAGTTATTTCTTGCCTTCTGCTAACTTTTGAATGTGTTTGCTCTCGCTTTTCTAGTTCTTTTAATTGTGATGTTAGGGTGTCAATTTTAGATCTTTCCTGCTTTCTCTTGTGGGCATTTAGTGCTATAAATTTCCCTCTACACACTGCTTTAAATGTGTCCCAGAGATTCTGGTATGTTGTGTCTTTGTTCTCTTTGGTTTCAAAGAACATCTTTATTTCTGCCTTCATTTCGTTATTTACCCAGTAGTCATTCAGGAGTAGGTTTTTCAGTTTCCATGTAGTTGTGTGGTTTTGAGTGAGTTTCTTAATGCTGAATACTAATTTGATTGCACTATGGTCTGAGAGACAGTTTGTTGTGATTTCTGTTCTTTTACATTTGCTGAGGAGTGCTTTACTTCCAATTTTGTGGTCAATTTTAGAATAAGTGTGATGTGGTGCTGAGAAGAATGTATATTCTGTTGATTTGGGGTGGAGAGTTATGTAAATGTCTATTAGGTCCACTTAGTCCAGAGCTGAGTTCAACTCCTGGATATCCTTGTTAACCTTCTGTCTTGTTGATCTGTCTAATATTGACAGTGGGGTATTAAAGTCTCCCATTATTATTGTGTGGGAGTCTAAGTCTCTTTTTAGGTCTCTCAGGACTTGCTTTATGAATCTGGGTGCCCCTGTATTGGATGCATATATTTAGGATAGTTAGCTCTTCTTGTTGAATTGATCCCTTTACCATTATGTAGTGGCCTTCTTTGTCTCTTTTGATCTTTGTTGATTTAAAGTGTGTTTTATCAGAGACTAGGATTGCAACCCCTGCTTTTTTTTGCTTTCCATTTGCTTGGTAGATCTTCCTCCATCCCTTTATTTTGCGCCTATGTGTGTCTTTGCACATGAGATGATTCTCCTGAATGAAGCAAACTGATGGGTCTTGATTCTTTATCCAATTTGCCAGTCTGTGTCTTTTAATCGGGGCATTTAGCCCATTTACATTTAAGGTTAATATTGTTATGTTTGAATTTGAGCCTGTCATTATGATGTTAGCTGTTTATTTTGCCCATTAATTGATGCAGTTTCTTCGTAGCATTGATGGTCTTTGCCATTTAGTATGTTTTTGCTGTGGCTGGTACCAGTTGTTCCTTTCCATGTTTAGTGCTTTCTTCAGAAGCTCTTGTAAGGCAGTCCTGGTGGTGACAAAATCTGCCAGCATTTGCTTGTCTGTAAAGGATTTTATTTCTCCTTCACTTATGAAGCTTAGTTTGGCTGGATATGAGATTCTGGGTTGAAAATTCTTTTCTTTAACAACGTTGAATATTGGCCCTACTCTCTTCTGGTTTGTAGGATTTCTGCTGAGAGGTCCACTGTTAGTCTGATCGGCTTCCCTTTGTGGGTAATCTGTCCTTTCTTTCTGGCTGCCCTTAATATTTTTTCCTTCATTTCAGCCTTGGTGAGTCTGACAATTATGTGTCTTGGAGTTGCTCTTCTTGGGGAGTATCTTTGTGGTGTTCTCTGTATTTCCTGAAGTTGAATGCTGGACTGCCTTTCTAGGTTAGGGAAGTTCTTCTGGATAATATCCTGAAGAGTGTTTTCTAACTTGGTTCCATTCTCCCTGTCACCTTCTGGTACACCAATCAAATGTATATTTGGTATTTTCACATAGTCCTGTATTTCTTGGAGGCTTGTTTCTTTTCCCTCTTTTTTCTCTTATCTTGTCTTCTCTCTTTATTTCATTAATTTGATCTTCAATCACTGATATCCTTTCTCCACTTGATTGAATTGGCTATTGGAGCTTTTGCATGGGTCACTAATTTCTCGTGCTGTGGGTTTCAGCTCCATCAGGTAATTTAAAGTCTTCTCTACACTGTTTATTCTAGTTAGCCATTTTTCTAATCTTTTTTCAAGGTTTTTAGCTTTTTTTGCGATGGGTTAGAACATGCTCCTATAGCTTGGAGAAGTTTGTTATTACCGACCTTATGAAGCCTACTTCTGTCAACTTGTTGAAGTCATTGTCCATCCAGTTTTGTTCTGTTGCTGGCAAGGAGCTGAGATCCTTTGGAGGAGAAGAGGCGCTCTGGTTTTTGGAATTTTCTGCTTTTCTGCTCTGGTTTCTCCCCATCTTTGTGGTTTTATCTACCTTTGGTCCTTGATGTTGGTGACCTACAGATGGGGTTTTTGTGTGAATGTCATTTTTGTTGATGTTGATGCTATTCCTTTCTGTTTCTGAGCTTTCCTTCTAACAGTCAGGCCTCTCAGCTGCAGGTCTGTTGGAGTTTTCTGGAGGTCCACTCCAGACCCTATGTGCCTAGGTATCACCATTGGAGACTACAGAACAGCAAATATTGCTGCCTGATCCTTCCTCTGGAAGCTTCGTTCCAGAGGGGCACCCACCTCTTTGAGGTGTGTGTTGGCCGCTACTGGGAGGTTTCTCCCAGTCAGGCTACACGGGGATCAGGGACTCGCTTGAGGAGGCAGTCTGTGTGTTCTTGGAGCTCGAAAGCCATGCTGAGAGAACTACTGTTCTCTTCAGAGCTGTCAGACAGGGGTGTTTAAGTCTGCAGAAGCTGTCTGCTGCCTTTTGTTCTGCTATGCCCTGCCCCGAGAAGTAGAATCTAGACAGGCAGTAGGCCTTGCTGAGCTGCAGTGGGCTCTGCTGAGTTTGAGCTTCCCGGCCGCTTTGTTTACACTGTGAGCTACTCAGTCCTCAGCAATGGTGGACGCCCCTCCCTCTGTCAAGCTGCAGCATTGCAGGTTGATCTGAGACTCCTGCGCTAGCAGTGAGCAAGGCTCTGTGGGCGTCGGAACTGCCGAGCCAGTCACGGAATGGTATCTCCTGGTCTGCTGGTCGCTAAGACCATGGGAAAAGCACAGCATTTGGGCAGGAGTGTCCCATTTCTCCACATACAGTCTGTCATGGCATCCCTTGGCTAGGAAAGGGAAATCCCCCAACCCTTTGCACTTCCCGGGTGAGGTGATGCCCCGCCCTGCTTCAGCTCGCCCTCTGTTGGCTGCACCCACTGTCTAACCAGTCCCAATGAGAAGAACCAGGTACCTCAGTTGGAAATGCAGAAATCACCCGTCTTCTGCGTCAATCTCGCTGGGAGCTGCGGACTGGAGCTGTTCCTATTCAGCCGTCTTGCAAGTGACCGGGCAATGATATACTGTTTTAAGGTCTTTATTTTGGTTCATTATTTTACTGCTGGAGTTTAATATTTAAGTAAATTATGGTACATGGATGGTATATCTTCTGAACCTGAACCTTTGAATTGCTAAATATTTTTAGTTGTTTTCAAATGAAATAACTTTCCTGAATTTTATAGACATTGGTTTAAACAAATAAACAAACACCTTTAGTTTCCTTGTGTGACCAGTCTGATGCTTGCCTCCAGCTAAGACCATTTGTTTAGCTTCCTTTCCCTTCCCTGTTCTGTTCCCCTCACTCCTTTTCTGAGAGTATTCACCAAATAAATCACTCCACATAGCTTAGATTATGACTTCTATGGTCTATGATTTCAACCACCTAGGAGAGACTGGCTCGCTTTCCTTAGTTGTAGTTTGAAAAACCTTACAAAAGACTTTTGGTGGCTGGCTTAGGTGAGACGTCTTTTCCTTCCTGGATTAAGCATCTATGGCAGGCAGTTGAGGGCTTGGTTATCTATCTATCTATCTATCTATCTATCTATCTATCTATCTATCTATTCATTTCATCCATCCATCATCACCTATCAATTATGTTCACTTCATGTCACTGGATGGAGGATCTTATTGCTCTAAATATCATTTGTAAGTTGATGACCCCCAAACATTCCAGATCTAACCTGGCCCCAACTCCAGGATTTTACATCCAAATGTCTACAAATCATTTCCGTTTGAACATCTAATGGTGACTTAGGACAGACTAAGTAGCAATTAACTCCAAAATCTCAGTGGATTAACAAAATGTTTATTCATTTATGCAAAGTCAGCTATGGGTCTGTGCAATTCTTCAGAGCAATTCTATGACTTCAGCTCACAACTCATTAACCAAAATTGGTCTCATAGTCCCACATAAGGTGGTAGAGAAGTATAATCCTCCAGCATGTTTAAGATAACAGAACCAGATACCAGTGAGCACTAGACATCCCTTTCACAGAAAGTCACTTCTTTAGTGAATCCTATTCGTAATACCTGTACCGTATCTTTCTTTTACTGGTTATCACAATAAATGAGGCCCATTCCTTTTCTCAAGCCAGAAGTCTTGTAGTCTTCCTCAATTCCCTCAAAGCCCACATCAAATCAATTTGTATCAATATACAGTCCTGTCAGTTGGCTCACCTTAAAAATATATTCATAAAAGACCAAGAAAATTTGTTGAAATGTTCCATATTAAAGGAACCTAAAGAGACACAGCAACTAAATGTAATACTGAATCCTGTACTAGAGGCAAGAAAAAGGACATTACTGGTTAACTGACAAGATTGGGACACAAATGGTAAATTACATAAAGGTATTTTATTATGTTAAATTTACTGGAGCCGATCATTGTGCTGTGGTTATGTAAGAGATGATCCTATTCTTAGGAAACACGGAAATACACACTGCTAAATTTAGAAGTAAAGGGTCACAATGTAAGATGAAAATAACTTACCTTCCAATAGCTAAAATGAAAGAAAAACACTATTTGTATATAAATTTATATATATTATATAACATATTATATATTTATATATTATATACTGTATGATATATTAATATATTTGACATATTATTGATATTGTCTTTATATTTTATATTAATACATATTTATATAAATATAAGTTTATACATATATACATATATATTGAAAGAGAGAAAGGAGGAGCTGATAAAGCAGACAGGGTACAATGTTAACAGCAGGTGAAACTAGATAAGGGTTCTGTCTTTAGGTGTGCACAGCTCCAGAATCTGACCGCACCTTATCACCCAGTACAAAGCCACCTTTCTCAAACCACCATCCTGATTCCACTCTTGCCCAATCTACAGTCTGTTCGCCACACAGCAGCAAGACTGAGCCTTTGGATATGTAAATATGATCATGTCACTCCTGCTCAAAATCCTCAAACGGCTTACCATCAAACATGTGTAATAAAATCCAAAGACCTCTGCATAGCTATGTCCTGCCCCTTGGTTATCTTTTGATCTTATCTGCTATACTCACCCCCTCAATCTAACTCTTTGCTCCAACCATCCTGCCTCCTTGCTGTTGCTGAATATACCCAGCATGCTACTGCCTTAGAGTTACCACCCCAAATTTATACTCACCAAAACTCAAGTTTTTTCTAGAATGGTTGACATAAACATCCTTGAGGTTATTTAAACATTTCTTTCAGTATTTTGCATTTTGCCATAAGATTAAAAAAAAGCATAAAAACAAATGAAAAGTAGGTCATAGCTAGTAACCGAAACAATATAGTGGCAATGAATCTGAAGATATAAACAATAAGCAACCGTTTTCATATAGAATCTTATTTCAGTTGAAGCTGCCTCAAATTTTAATACTATTATAAGAATCCCTTTTACTTCATCTTTTTAGAATGGATTTTTAAGAAGTTCTTATGGGAACGGTTCATATTTTTAATAAGCATTTTATTTCTTCACAATGAAAAGAGTCTATCCATATATTCAATATTATGCTATTGTATTTTATTGAAGTTATTTGTTGGAAGAATAAATGTTTTCTCAAAGGAAACAAGTTATATATTATGAATAGTAAAATAATCATATCTGAAAGTTTTCATTGAATGTATATTAATTTAATAAAATTGCACATGTAAGCAGGCCTTTATCAAACTGCTTCTATAAACTCAAAGGAAGGAAAACTACTTTTAAGAAATAAAAGGTAAGTGAATGTGCAATCAGAATTTAATTTTGTGCAGGATTTAAGTGCATTTAAACTAGAAACAAAAAATGACATATCAGAAAGCAGATTAAGGGCAAAAAGTTAGTCTTTTGGTGTTTTCTGCAGGAATATTGAGGATTACAGACAAATTTCAAACCCCAAATATAAACAGTGGCTCTTTGCTATTTCACGAGGATGAGGAAAGTTAGAGTTGGGAAATAGGGGTAATCAGGGACTCAAAGATAGAGATTTACCTGGAACTCAATTCATTCTAATCTAACCATTTTCAATGATGCCTTACTTTATCGTATCTATCATGGATGAACTTTTTTTTAGGTACATAACGTTACGGTTTCATTTCCTAAAGATACTAGGTTATTTAAAATACTTTATTTTAAAAGTATCATAGCTGAACAGTTGAGCATTTTTAGGGTAGTAGCTCCGTGAAATTGGCTATATGTCCAGTGAGCTCATGCACCATTTCGATAAATATATAAAAGAATAAGAATATATGTGTGAAATATACATTTCATTTCAAGAAATATAATTAATTGCCATGTAACATTATAATAACAAAAAAATATATAATTTACCATTCATCTTTCTTTCTGCATCCCTATGAACCGTATTTTTTTTTATACTCTCTAAATATTTTTGCCTAGATAATTACAAAAATTTTACCTAGTTGTAGTCATGGGTTCAGATTTATATTTTCAAATATAAGCATTTCTTTACCTGGCTTCTTAGCATTTTAAAATATCATTTTAATCAGTGCATAATATTTCATCAAGTGAATGCACAGTGAATAATTACCGTTTCATCATTTGTGAATATTTAGGAGCATGTATATGCTTGATTTTTTTTGGAGTGTAGAGATTTTTTAAAAATTCAATTTGTGTGGTTTGGATTAATTTTAATTTTTAATTTAGTGAATAAAATAAAGCAGTTTTATTTTATTATTAAAAATAATAAGGCAGAGTTAGGAATTCTATAGAGGACTATTGAACCAAAGCAACAAAATAAATTGAATTTATATTCTTTTCATAGTGAAATATAAACCATTCAATTATTTAAAAAAAAAACATTATTTAATAATTAAGAACAATATCTCAAAGTATACTTAGGTTATGTAAATCCTTTGAATATTAAGGAGCAAGGAAAAAGGAGAGGCATGCAGGAGAGAGATGAGATAGAGAGACATGTGTAAGAGAATGGACACACTGGAAGAGAAATTTATACAGATGGGTATTGTAATCTCTGCTTGTTTTTCCTGTCTCTTCATAGCTGGAGGATTGTATATGTCACTGAGAGATTCTGACCTGTATGACTGCTTGGAACATTTTGCCCTTTGGGCAGAGAGAATGGGAGGGACCTAAGTCATGAATTAGCTGGTATCACTTTGACTTTGCATCCCAGTTCTTGTCTCTGACATACTGTCTGGTTTCCCTGTGCCTGAGTCTCTGCCTTGCATCTAAGACAGAGTATTCTACCTCTTATGGAGCTTAGCTTCTTTTTTGTTTGCTTGTTTGTTTGTTTACCATTCAGTCCTTACCCCATGAGGGTTTTCAGTTATCAGCTTCTGGATCTTTTGAATGATGAGTATACCTCTGGTCCTTCTATTGCTATGTTTTGTACATCTACTGGAGATCTCACCTACTGTTGAATTTTCCTGATATTGTAACTGACATTGACCTTTGCTGACCATGTCTGGGCTGCACAGGTCTAGTCCACTCACTTGCCTTGCCTATGGATGGATATTTATTCAGTTCAGACGTAGGTCATCTCAGTTTGGTCCATCTGACTGGTGGTCAAAATCCAGGGACCACCCAACAAAACTCTGTAAATAGTAGTACTTAAAACTTTTAATTGATTATTCTAAATATTTTTAAAATGTTCAGTATGCAAATTTTTGAACCCCTTTTAACAATGGCTTGATATATTAACCATATTGTTTAACAGAAAGTCAGGTGCAAAAGCTCCAGGACTTGATAGGATAGTTCAATAACTAATTATAAATTATATACAAATGGCTTTCGACAAATGTTAAGAATCAAAGGAAGATGAAAGCAAGCTATGTATGAGAAAAGACTACAGGACTTACAATCTGATGAACAAAGTTGGAGACCCAGGTATATCCCCTCATGGTTTTTTATTTGTTTGTTTTTGAGACAAAGTCTTGTTCTGTTGCACAGGCTGGAGTACAGTGGTGCAACCACAGCTCACTGCAACCTCAAACTCGTGGACTCAGGCAATCATCCCACCTCAGCCTCCCAAGTGGCTGGGACTACAGGCACACACCACCACACCTGGCTAATTTCTTATTTTTTTATAGAGACAAGGTCTCACATGTTGCCCAGGCTGATCTTGAACTCCTGGGCTAAAGTAATCCACTCATCTCAGCCTCCCAAAGTGTTGGAATTACAGGTATGAGCCATTGTGCCCAGCCTGTATCCCCTTGTTTACTATGACACTGGACAAGCTACTTAACATCTCTGAGCCTCAATTTCCTCATTAGGAAATTAATGACAATAGCCATCTAAAGGTCTGAGGGAGAATTAAATTGAATAATATGAAAGAAGATATATAACATATAGTGGGCCCATAATCACTGTTTTTTTAAATATAAGGTAATTGATTATTTTATATAAAATAAGATGTCTCCTATGTACAAAACCTGTGAAATAGTCCCAAGCATAGATGGAACATATTTTGAGTTTTCAGGTTGTAACCTAGTGACTCAGTCACTTATGCACTAAATATTTCTTAGCTTTTAAAAAATAAAGTCCCTATAGTCAAGTAGTTCATCATCTAGTAAACCGTGTTGTAGTAAACCTGGGCTATGAGGAAATCCTTGTAAATGGGACCAGAGAGCAAAAGTGAACTATATCCTGAATGTCTTTACTTGTAAATGCTGCTTAAAGCATTGCTTTGGATCAGACGACAAATGAGATTAAAAAATTTGATATTAGCTATATGATCTTATTTGCTGTAGGCATTAAATCATGCAGAAATGTGGAAAGTAAGAGAGAAAGATCCAACTTCCAGGTATTGATTGTTCTGATCAAGAAAGGAAAAGGAAAACTGCCAGGAGAAGCAATTTTCTGCACCTAATTTGAAAGCCTAAGAAGCCAAAGAGATACTTCTCTATTCACTCAGCAAACATTTCTGAATGCCCACTCTTTGCCCTGTCTTGTTATAGGCTCCAGGAATTCAAAGGTGTAGTCTCAGTCCCCATGTCTAAATGGGAGCCATATATGGAAATCATTACAAGGTGCTAATCAAGATATGTACACAGACTGTGGAAGCACTGAACAAAGTGCAGTCCATTTTACTTATTTGGGTATGAAATCTATTCAGGGTCTTAAAAATAATCTTGAAGTTACCAAATGTCTAGGAATTTTCTAGACCATTAAGACTTAAGCAAAAACATAGGGTGGAAAGAAATTACATGACATATGTAGGAAAAGCGTAAGATACATGAGAGTGAGTGGAAAAGGATTGGAGGCTGAATTGGGGGACTTCAGTTGTCTAATTGAGGGGTCAAAAAACAATGGCCGAGGGGCTGGCCCATCACCTGTTTTATTACATAAGGTTTTATTGAACACAGACACACCCATTAGTTTAGGTATTATCCACGAATGCTTTCAAGCTGCAACAGTAGAATTGAGTAGCTGTGAAAGAGTTGCATAACATATTTATGATATGACCCTTTACATGAAAAGTTTGCTGAATTCTGGTCTAGCTTATAAATGACAAAGACCTGAACTAAGGAAGTAGTATGCATTGGAGGAAAAAGAATTTGTGAAGCATTTTAAAGAGAGTTTTTTCCTTATAGTATATTTGATTTTATTGCTTTTTATTACTATATATCCCTATAAAAGTAATAGCTATTTATTGTAAACAATTTAAATAATGCAGTATATATAAAATAGACAGTAAAAACTCAAATAGCAAAACTGTATTAATATAAAGAGAAGGTGAATGTTCTCAGAGGCAACCATTGTTAACAGTTTGAACATTTTTCAAGATGTTTTCATGAAAATATATTTATTCATATTCATTTGTTTTGTTTTATAAATGGGATCGTTTTATTCAGACTATTCTATAATCTGTATTTATCACTTAACAGTATAGCACAGACTTCTTTTCATGTCATGACATACAGATCTGTCTTATGCCCATTAACAGTTTTATGTTGTAGACTTTCCTTTGTAGGGAAGTTTAATTTAATAATTTATTTATTCTACAGATATTTATTGAGCAATGAAGCGCACATCTATGAAACTGTCTACTGAGTACCCCACCACACAAATCTTCTGAGGACTGCTATCCCCATCCATTTGTGTATCATGATGGCCATTATACTAGTAGAATTTAATTCTGCTTCCTGGCCTCTATTCTTTGGTTCAATTGTGGGGATTTAACACAAGTCAGCTATGCAGAAATGGCTAATCATCACTAAAATTTAGGCTTTCTGACAACCTACGCAATACCATCTTGCACATGGGAATGGACAATGATTTCTTGACAAAGACACCAAAAACAATTGCAACAAAAAGCAAAAATTGGCACGTGGGATCTAATTAAACCTAAGCACTTCTGCACAGCAAAAGAAACTTTCAGCAGAATAAACAACCTACAGAACAGGAGGAAATATTTGCAAACTATACACCTGATACCCATCTAATATCCAGCATCTCTAAGGAACTTAAACAAATTTATAAGAGAAAAACAAACAATCCCATTAAAAAGTGGGTAAAGAACATGAACAGACACTTCTCCAAACAGACATACAGGTGACCAACAAGCATATGAAAAAAAGCTCAATATGACTTATCATTAGAGAAATGTAAATCAAAACTACAATGAGATTCCATCTCACATCAGTCAGAATTGATATTATTAAAAAGTCAAAAACATAACAGATGCTGGCAAGGTTGTGGAGAAGGGAACATTTATACACTGCAGGTGGGAGTGTAAATTAGTTCAGCTATTGTGGAAAACAGTATGGTGATTCCTCAAAGACCTAAAAGCAGAACCACCATTGGATCCCATTCCTAGGCATATACCCAGAGGAATATAAATCATTCTACCATAAAAACACATCCACATGAATGTTCATTGCAGCATTGTTCACAATAGAAAAGACATGAAATCAACCTAAATGCCCATCAGTGGTAGACTGCATAAAGAACATGTAGTATACATACACCATGGAAAACTATGCAGCCATAAAAAAGAATGAGAGCAAGTCTTTCGCAGGAACATGGATGGAGCTGGAGGCTATTATCCTTAGCAAACTGATGCAAGAACAGGAAACCAAATACCACATGTTCTCACTTATAAGTGGGAGCTAAATGATAAGAACTTATAAACACAAAGAAAGAAACAACTTTCTTGAGAGTGGAGGGTGGGAGGAGGGAGTCTACTTGAGAGTGGAGGGTAGGAGGAGGGAGAGGAGCAGAAAAGATAACTATTGCATATGGGCTTAATACCTAGATGATTGAATACTCTGTACATCAAACCTCTGTGATGTAAGTTTACCTATGTAATAAACCTTCATGTGTACCCCTGAACCTAAAATAAAGGAGAAACTGAGGCACAGGTTAGATAATGTCCAGATATTAGAATGTGTTTTGCAGATAATACCAGCTGTCCACCAAAAGCTTTTCTCGTTTTCTTACTGGGTATATGGCTAGCCTACATTTCTTACACTCTCTTGGTCATATGTGGTCCAAGTAAATTTTTACCAGTGAAATGTGAATGGAAGTAATGAATACCATTATATTAGTTATCTCTTGCTATACAAATGATAGCCTAAAATAACAATAAACATTTCATACAGTTTCTATGGAGTTGCAAATTCAGAATTGGCTTTGCTGAATGGTTCTAGATCACGGTCTTGGTTGTAGTCAAGATGGCAATGGGGCTGCAGTCATCTGAAGGCTTTGCTGGGACTTGAGGTTTCACTTCCAAAATGACTTATTTACATGGCCTTTGGCAGGATACCTCGGGTTTTTTTTTTTTTTCTCCACATGCATCTCCTGAAAAGACTACCTGAGTGTCTTCATAACATGACAGCTGTCTTTGCCCATAGCAAGTGACCCAAGAGAGGAAGGCAGAAGCTGCAGTATCTTTTGTGACCTGGCCTCAAAAGTTGTATGTGGTCATTGCCACAATATCAGATTGGTTATACAGGTCAGCTCCTTTCAATGTGGGAGAGTACTACAGAAGAAGTGTGGCTACCCAGAGGTGGAATTCACTGGTGGTGGCGGTGCATCTTGGAGGCTGCCTACCACAGTCCTTTAAGAGAGAAGCTAGGCCTTTCTGACATTCTTTTTCTTCTTCTGATTGGAAACTGGATGTGGAACTTCATCCTAGATTGTAGAGATAATGGGACCCTAGGGGTTGCATGGCCACAAGATGGAATGAATGTATATATTTGAATCAGATTCCTCTACTCAAATTACAGGGTCCTGGACATCCTCTAGATAATAGTGGTCTTATGACATTGCCTCTTGATGTAGTAGCCAGATGGATTTTTGAATGGCCTCCCCTGAGGACAGGAGTTTGTTGTGTTTATAATAGGATGTATGGTATTTGATGTTGGCAGACAATTCTCCATGAACATTTTCACATTTCTTTATGATTCATATCTTTAAAGCAAGGGATAATGTCTGAATAGCAAGGGACTTGAAAGCTGGAAATTTAGAGATTTGTCTCCTGTCGAGACATTTGCTTACATTCCAAAATAATAAAGATAAAGATCTTCCCCTTCTTTCCTGAAGAGGATTTGTTTACATTTCAGAATAAAACATACCCTCTCTTTTTCTCTCTGGAAATGAAAATAGGCATATATACAGCAGTCCCTATATAAGCTCTGAACCTCATAAGTTTAGAATTCCTCTCCTTGGATGCATTTCTGTTACATGCACAAGTAATATCTCACTCTCAATCATGTTGGCCCATGGAGACTGGAGCTGGGGAAATTGTTCCAGAAAGCGTCTTTCTTTCCGGAAAGAAGCTGCTCTGGCTGTTTTTGCTGTAAATAATAACTTATTTGTCTTATCCAAAAAACATTTTTTCTCCTGTCAAGATAGCTAAATCTATATGTCTATAAAACTGTGGCAGGCTAACTTATTGGCTTGCAAGCAGGATAAGATCTCTGACCTTTGACAGTTTCTGACTTAACAATTATGAACATTATGCCAATAAATTAGACAACTCAGATCAAATGAACAAATTCCTTCAAAGACACAGACCACCAAACTCATTAAAGAAGAAATAAACTGAATAGCCCTATGTCTATTAAAGACATAGAATTTGTAGTGAACAACTTTACTACAATGAAAACTTCAGTTCCAGCTGGTTTCATTGGTGAATTCCAACAAACATTTAAGGAAGAAATAATACCAATTCCCCACAAACTCTTCCAGAAAACTGAAAATGGGGGATACTTCCTAATTCATTCTATGAGGCCAAAAGTACTCTTATAGTCAAACAAAGAAAAATATTTAATTTTTGTTTGTGTATATGAGTACTTTGGGTATTAATACCTTTTTGTTGTTGTTGTTGTTTAGGAATAAGAGTACTTTTTGGCCTTACAGAATAAATTAGGAAGCCTCTTTGGGAGGTTAACGTGGGTAGATGGCTTGAGTCCCAGAATTTGAGACCAGCCTGGGCAACACGACAAAATCCCATCTCTACAAAAAACACAAAAAAATTGGGCGTGGTGGCATGCGCACGTAGGCTGACAATGGAAAGATCACCCAAGCTCGGGAGGTCGAGTTGCAGTGAGCTGAGCCATGATTGTGCAACTGCCCTCCGGGTGACAGAGTGAGACCGTGTCTTAATTAAAAAGACAAAAAAAAAAAAGATATTACAAGGAAATAAAACTACAGATCACTATTTCTTATAATCATATATAGCAATTGTTAAACAAAACTTTTTTTTTTTGCAAATCTAATAAAAACTATGTAAAAAAGATAATACAGAATGACTAGGTGAGGTTTATTCCAGGAATGCAAGATTGAGTAAACATTTGAAAAACAATTGATGTAATTTACCACATTAACAAACTAAAAAGAAAAATTACATGATTCATCTAAATAGGCACAGAAAAATATAGGAGATAACACTGGGTTACATAATACTTTCTTGGATATGACACCAAAATCACCATTCATTAACATAAATTGATAAATTGGACTTCATCAAAATTAACAACTTTTGCTCTGCAGAGGAAGCTGCTTGGAAAATGAAAGACATGAATTGGTAGACAACATTTTCAAATCATGTATTTGATACATGACTCTTGGCCAGAATATATAAAAATCTTTCAAAACTTAACAGTAAAAAAACAATTCCCAGAAATGAGCAAAAACATTTGAAAAGACACTTCACTAAAGAAGATATTCAAATGGCCAATAAGCACATGAAAAATGCTCAACATCATTAGTAATAAGGGATGTGCAAATTAAATTCACAATGTGATTCCATTACACACCTACTGGAATGGCTAAAATTTAAAAAGACTGATTTTGGCAAAGATGTTTAGGAAACGGAACTCATATACACTGTTGATGGGAATATAACATGGTATAACCACTTTTGACAGCAGTTTGACAGTTTCTTAAGAAGCTGAACATACATCCTTCATGTGATCCAACAATTTCATTTCTAGCTATTCACTCAAGAGAAATAGCCAAGCACAGTGGTGCAAGCCTGTAGTCCCAGCTACCTGGGAGGCTGAGGTGGGGGAATCACTTGAGCCATGGAGTTCCACAGTGTCATATGATTGTGCCTGTGAATGGCCACTGCCCTCTAGCCTGGGCAACATAGGGAGACCTCATCTCTTAAAAAAGAAAAGCAAGTGTCCACACAAATACAGGGACACAAATGTTTACAGTAGTGTTATTTGCAATAGATAAGACCTAGAAACCACTCAAATGTCTATTAAAAGGCGAATGGATAAACAAATTATGGAAGATATTGCAGTGGAATGCTTCTCAGTAATACACTTGAGATTACATTTGGTGATATCTCCTTCTAAAGCAGAGGAAGCTACAGGAGATAGTAGATAAAGACCTAGTACAAGACAAATAAACAAAATAAAACATCTTTTCAGAGTAGCTTATGCCCACAGAAGGTTTTGAATAGCCACAGGAGGCTACTCCTGTGGCACAGAGGGAGAATGCCAGTGGAGAGCCATGTAACTGAGACCGGGCCTTTACCATGAAATATACTTCCATTAAAAAATATGTGAAATTGAGGTTTGTTCATTTGGCAGAATTTTCACTACTGTCAGTTTTCTATTTAATTTTATGTGGTGTTATTGGCTTTTCTTTTTTTAAAAAATAATAATCCCATGTTTCTATATTGTGGCCCCTGAGCTTACGTTTAAGAAGTTTGTGGGGAGATTTACCACTTTTTCAGGCGAGGACTTTAAAAGAGCGATACCCATTATCAGAAACTTAAGCCTTCAGTGGTAGAAGTCAGTTGGAAATAAATAATTTTTTTAAGTCACAGTTGACTATTTACTTGAGCTATGGTATTGTAAGTAAATAATCAAATATAACCTGTCTTTTGAATTTTGATTATATAATTAATCACTATTAATCATGCTTCAACTATTCCAATCTTTTTTTTAACTTTTATTTTAGGTTTGGGGGTACATGTAAAGGTTTGTTACATAGGTAAACATGTGTCATGGGGGTTTGTTGTATAGATTATTTCATAACCTAACCTGGGTATTAAGTCCAGTACACAATAGTTGTAGGTAAACTCGTGTCATGGGGGTTTGTTGTACAGATTATTTCATAACCCAGCCATTAGGTCCGGTACACACAGTTATCTTTTCTGCTTCTCTCCCTCCTCCCACCCTTCACTGTCAAGTAGACCCCAGTATTTGTTGTTTCCTTCTTTGTGTTCATAAGTTCTTATCATTCAGCTCCCACTTATAAGTGAGAACATGTCGTATTTGGTTTTCTGTTCCTGCAATAGTTTGCTAAGGTTAATGGCCTCCAGCTTCATCCATGTTCCTGTAAAAGACATGATCTCATTCTGTTTTATGGCTGCATAATATTCCATAGTGTATGTGTACCATGTTTTCTTTCTGCAGTCTGTCATTGATGGGCATTTAGGTTGATTCTATGTTTTTGCTATTGTGAATAGTGCTGCAAAGAACATTCATGTGGATATGTCTTTATGGTGGAATGATTTATATTTCTCTGGCTATTAACCCAGTCATGGGATTGCTGGGTCAAATGATAGTTCTGCTTTTGGGTCTTTGAGGAATCGCCATACTGCTTTCCACAATGGCTGAACTAATTTACACTTCCATCAGCAATGTATAAGTGTTCCCTTTTCTCTACAACCTCGCCAGCATCTGTTGTTTTTTTACTTTTTAAATAGCCAACAATCTTTAAATCTTAAAAATAAAATTCTGTTCTGAATGGGGCATGCTAACATCAAACACCAGAAACATTATTTTCTGGATATAGAGTGCTCTCACTCAGGTAACATAAAATCAAATGCAGATTATGGCTATGTGCCAGTTTTTTAAATTTTGGATTTAAGCATGACGTTTATGAAGTAAATTTTTTATTTGGCATTTAATATCACACTTTTGGTTTCTTCTTGTCAAGCCAGTTATCCACTTTTTTTCTCAGTACAAAAGATAAGAAAAACTCCAGACGGCCTAGACCTTTCTCATATTGACTACATTCAATGATCTTTCTCTTAACTTTCTGAGAAGTTAGGAAACAGGGAAAAGTAATTGGGTTAATAATAGCATTCTGTAATATTTCTGGTATTCCTTTGTCAAGATTTCTACTTGATTTTTGACCACTCACTTTGTTGCTGGCTTTCTAGTTGTCTGTATTCCTAGACCTGTTGGTTGGTACAATCTAATGTGACCTCTTGGTCTCTGGTATATCTCTTCCTCTGAAAACCTAGGCTATGGTCATAATTCTAATTCAAAGACCTCTGCTCATTTCAGATTGTGAGAAAAACAAAGAAAACAGAGAAAAAAATTATGGACAAACATTTTGAAAATACATACAATAGGTCACAGAGAATATTTGGTGCAGTTGCATGTAGTTCTTTGTAAACTATCATCATTAAAGAAGAGCAAATAAAAATCATGTCCTACTAAGTTTAGACCCATTGACGTCTTTCTGACAGAAGATTCAAAAGCAACTACAGGAACCTTCAGCAAAAGGACAATGTAACACTTTCTTACATGTTAAATTCAGGTTATAGCATTTCTTCTTTTCTCTTCTCTTCTCTTTTCTTTACTTTTCTTTTCCTTTTCTCTTTTCTTTTTTTTTCGAGTTGTGGTCTTGATATGTTACCCAAGCTGAACTGGAACTCTGGGACACAAGCAATTCTGCCTCAGCCTCCTGAGTATCTGGGACTACAGGCATGCACCACAGCACCCAACTACAAGCATATTATCTTTCATTTCTGGAGGTCAGAAGTCTGAAAATGGGTCCTATGGGGCTAAAGTCAAGGTGCCAGCAGGGCTAGTTCCTTCTGGAGGCTCTATGGGAGAATCTATTTCTGCCTTTTCCAGGTTCTAGAGGTTTCCCATATTCTCTGGTTTGTGGCTCCTTCCTCCATCTTCAAAGCTAGCAGCATAACCTCTTCAAATCATCTCCCTGTCTGACCCCTGCTTCTATCATCACATCTTGTCTGATTCTGGCTCTCCTGCTTCCCTCTTTCCCTTATAAGTACTCTTATGTGGTGTGAGTACTCTTATATGGCCCAACTAAGTAATCCTGAATAATTTTTCCATCTGAAGATTCCTAAGCACATATGCAAAGGCCCCTTTGACATGGAAGGCAATATACACAGGTTTTGGGGCATAGTGTATGGACATCTTTGGAAGTCTACTATTCTGTCACAGCAAGGTCCCTGAGAGGGAGAACAGAGAGTGCAGTGGAACAGTATGATGATCTCTACAATGCACCATTCAGTGGAAGCAAGGAGCTTGAAGCCAGACGGGGTTGTGAGAAAGTGCCTTTCACAGTTTTTGAGTAGTGCAATGATATAATAATATCTGTGCTTTAGGAAGATAGTTTTGTGATAATATATAAGATGAATTATAGCATAAAATAAATATCAAAATAGTTAAATAACAGCTCAAGAGAACAATAGGTATGTCACAAAGTAGTACATGATTAATTGCTAAAAGAACTCTACAGACAATAATTACTCTTATAATTTTTTAAAGTAAATTAGGATAATGATGATTAGTGAAACTGCTCTAAAGAGGCCAAGGACATGAATTTGATTTTTTTTTTTTGTGGGTCAGAATATTCCGGGTGTTAAACACTTAATCACAACTAATTATTTTGCAATTGGAAGGATGGAAGAGGTACAAAGAAAATCAAGAAAGAAAGGTAGAGTAGTACTAACATTTCATCTGCACTAAAACAATTTCAATGTTTATGTCCTTCTGATGATAGATTAGTACTTTATATATTAAAGATGGTATTTTACTCATATAATTAGGCAAAATTAGGTTTTATAAAATGCATACATTTGTGACAAGTACATTCAATTTTTAAAATCATAGGCATGCTTCTAAATATTTGTGTAAATGAAATTCATGTAAATTTCCTAATATTTCAAATATATCTTTTAGAAACTATATAAAAAAGAGTATGCAATTTTATTTCCTAAAAACAAAATTTATATGGAAATTAGGATTATAACACAAAGTTTTCTTTTTTTCTATTTTTTAAAAACTTTTATTTTAGGTGCAAAAGGCCATGTGCAGTTTTGTTATACAGGTACATTGCATGTCATTGGTATTTGGTGTACAGATTATTTCATTACCTAAGTAGCAAGTGTAGTATTCAATAGGTAGTTTCTCAATCCTTACCCTCCTTCCACCCCGTACCCTCAAGTAGGTCCTGGTATCTATTGTTCCCTTCTTTGTGTCCATGTGTACTCAATGTTTAGCTCCCACTTATAAGTGAGAGCTTGTGATATTTGGTTTTCTGTTCCTGCATTAGTTCACTTAGGATAATGGCCATCAGCTTCAGCCATATGGCTCCAAAGGACATGATCTCATTGTTGTGTAGTATTCCATGGTGCATATGTACCACCAATTGTTGTGCATTTAGGTTGATTCCATGTCTCTGCCATTGTGAATAGTGCTGTGAGGAACACAGACGTGCATGTGTCTTTATGGTAGAATGACTGATATTCCTTTGGGCATATATCCAATAAAGGGATTGCTGGGTTGAACGGTATTTCTGTTTTAAGTTTTTTAAAGAATTGCCACACTGCTTTTCACAATGACTAAACTAATTTACACCCTAACCAACAGTGTATGAACATTCTCTTTTCTCTGCAACTTCACCAGCATCTGTTATTTTTTTGACTTTTTAGTAATAGCCATTCTGACTGGTGTGAGATGGTATCTAACTGTGGTTTTGATTTGCATTTCTGTAATGATTAGTGATAATGAACATTATTTCATATGCTTGTTGGCCACATGTATGTCTTCTTTTGAAAAGTATCTGTTCATGTCCTTTGCCGACTTTTTAATGGGATTTTGGTTGGCATTAACTGGTTAGTTTAAGTTCCTTATAGATTCTGGATATTAGACCTTTGTTAGATGTATAGTTTGCAAATATCTTCTATTCTTTAGGTTGTCTGTGTACTCTGAAAATACATTAATTTTTAGCAGAAACTCTTTGGTTGAATTACATCCCATTTGTCAATTTTTGTTTTTGTTGCAATTGCTTTTGGTGTCTTCATCGTGAAATCTTTCCAGGGCCTACATCTAGATAATATTGCCTAGGTTATCTTTCAGGATTTTTATAGTTTTAGGTTTTACACTTAAGTCTTTAATCCATCTTGAGTTGATTTTCATATATGGTGTAAGGAAAGGATCCAGTTTCAATATGATGTTGGCTGTGGGTTTGTCATATATGGCTCTTATTATTTTGAGGTATGTTCCCTTAATGCCTAGTTGGGTGATCTTGGTACTGATTTCAATTTTTATTTTGCTGTGGTCCAAGAGTGTGGTTGGTAGGATTTTGCTTATTTTTAATTTGCTGCAAATTGTTTTATGACCAATGGTGTGGTCAGTTTTAAAGTATGTGCCATGTGCCGATAAGAATAATGTATATTCTGTTGTTTTGGGGTGGCGATTTCTGTTGGTCTCTGTTAGGTTCATTTGGTTAAGTGTCAAGTTAAGGTCCTGAGTATCTTTGTTAGTTTTCTACCTCAATGATCTGTCTAATTCTGTCAGTGGGGTGTGGGAATCTCCCACTATTATTGTGCAGGAGTCTCAGTCTCTTTGAAGGTCTCTAAGAACTTGTTTTATGAATCTGGATGCTCCTGTGTTGGACACATATGTATTTAAGATAGTTCGGCCTTCTTGTTGAATTGAACCCTCTGCTAACGTGTAATGCTCTTCTTTGTCTTTTTTGATCATTGTTGGTTTAAAGTCTGTTTTGTTTGAAATTAGAATAGCAACCCCTGCTTTTTTCTGTTTTCTATTTGCTTGGTAAATTTTTCTCCAGCCCTTTACTTTGAGACTATGGGTGTCACTGCATGTGAAATGGGTGTCTTGAAGACAGCATACTATTAGGTATTGCTTCTTCATCCAAGTTGCGACTCAGTGCCTTTTAATTGGGGCATTTATTCCATTTACATTCAAGGTTCATATGAATGTATGCATATTTGATCCACTCATTGTATTGTTAGCTGGTTATTATGCAGATTTGATTGTGTATGTACTTTATAGAGTCAATAGTCAATGTACTTAGCATATTTTTGTGATGGCCGGTAACAGTCTTTCCTTTCCATATTTTGCAGTCCCTCAAGGACCTCTTGTAAAGCAGGTATGGTGGTAACAAATTCCTTGCTTATCTGAAAAGGATCTTATTTCTCTTTTGCTTATAAAGCTAGTTTGGCTAGCTATAAAATTATTAGCTGGAATTTCTTTAAGAATGCTGAATATAGGCTCCCTAATGTCTTCTGGCTTTTTAGGCTTCTGCTGAAAATTTCATTGTTAGCCTGATAGGGTTGCTTTATTAGGTGATCTGCCTCTTATCTCTAGCTGCATTTAACATTTTTTCTTTCATTTTGACCTTGGAGAATCTGATTACTATGTGTTTTGGAGATGGTCATCTTGTATAGTATCTTAGGTTCTCAGCATTTTCTGAATTTAAATGTTTCCTCTCTAGTGAGGTTGGGGAAATTTTCATGGATGATATCTTCAAATATATTTGCCAAGTCGCTTGCTTTCTCTCTCTCTTTTAGGGATGCCAGTGAGTCATAGATTTGGTCTCTTTACATAATTTTACATTTCTCAGAGGCTTTATTTATTCTTCTTTCTTCTTTTTTCTTTTTTTTTTTGTCTGAATGAGTTATTTCAGAGAATTGTTCTTCAAGGTCTGAGATTCCTTTCTTAGCTTGGTTGATTCTGTTGTTAATACTTGTGATTGTATTCTGAAATTCTTTAAGTTTGTTTTTCAGCTCTGTTGTATCAGTTTAGTTGTTTCTTAAAGTGACCATTTTGTCTTTCAGCTCCTGTATCATTTTATCATATTTCTTAGATTCCTTGGATTGGGTTTTGACTTCTTCCTGAAGTTCAATGATCTTCATTCCTATCCATATTCTGAATTCGATGTTTGTCATTTCAGCCATTTCAGGCTGATTAAGACCATCACTGGGGAACTAGTGCAGTCGTTGGAAGGCAAGAGGACACTCTGGCGTTTTGAGTTGCCAGAGTTCTTGCACTGGTTCTTTCTCATCTGTGTGGGCTGATGCTCTTTCAGTGTTTGCATTCACTGTCCTTTAGATGGGTTTTATCACTTTTATCTCCTTTGATTCCCTTCATTTGATTCCCTTGGGTTTGATTGGGTATAGGGTGGGTTTAGTCAATTGGCTTAGTTTCTGGAAGATTTTAACGGGCCAAGGCTCAGCTCAGCACTGCTGGGCTATGTGCTGTAACTCTGGGGGGCCTGGTACCAGCCCCCACCAGAGTTATAGCACATAGCCCAGAAGTACCCCGGTACCCCCTGGTACCAAGCCTTTGTTCTCTGGCCCCTCAAGTTTAGAAACCTGCTGTGCTGGAGGGACTGAGGTATTCCTGGTCCACTCACCGCAACTCTCTGATGGGTGGCACTGGCCAAAGTGCTTCATCAGGGCAGTGTCAGCAGGATCTGTGCTCACTCATGCACGCCTGCAGACATGGCAGTACTGAGGACTGCACACGTGTTGGCTGGGGCAGGGCACCAGTAGGGCTACAACATTTTCTTGATGAGCATACATCTAGAGCAAGAAGAATTAGAAGACCTGTGTTGTAATATATAGAATATGGACTTTGGAATCTAACAGTGGATCTGAGTTTGAGCTCTGCTTTTTATTAGTTGTGTGGCTTTAGGTAATTTAACTTCTCTGAGTCTCTAGTTCTGTTTTATAAAATAGATATAATAATGCCTACTTTTAGGATTGTTTTGAAGAGTAGAGATTGTATATGTATTGTTGGTACGTTACAAATGGTACTTTTTTCAGAATCTATTTCCTAGGGAAACAAATGGTATTTTTGTTAGCTATTATCCTGATTCACATGTTCAACATCAGTAACCTAATATAACTATCACTTTAACAGGGATATACCTGGTATTAGGACCAGCTTTAAAATGTGATTACAGGTTTTCCCTTTCTTTTGTCTCTTCTGTTGTTGCTATTAGGGTATCAGCTATCTGTCCAATTTTCTTTTCTTCATTGGTAACCTATCTTTTCTTTCTGGTTTCTAAGTGTAAATTACAAATGTTACATAGGTAACCTGAACATTTACAAGTGTCATGGCTTTAACATGGTGAAAATAAACCAGTTGCCGATAAATGTACATGGATATCTTATGGACACAGAAAATATTTTCCCTGAGTCATTATAGAAAAGCATATATTGAACAAAGTTCTCAATATTTACCTTTCTAACTACCCTAAAATGGGCCTTCATCCTCCATCAGTATATTCCCTTACTCTCATTTAGAGTTTTTAAATTGGACCAACTGTTTCTTGACATTGAATTTTATATATATATATATATATATATATATATATATATATATATATATATTCTGTTTTCTGCCCAAAATGTTAGCTGTTCATGGAACTGCTTCACAGTGCACCACCACACCAACCATCTTGGATTTTTTTGTATCTTTATTCAAAATAACTTTTCTCAGTGTACTACTTTACTAGGGCTGCCATAACAAAATACCACAGAATGGGTGCCTTAAATGACAAAAATTAATTTTCTCTAAGTTCTGAAGGCTAGAAGTCCAAGAATGAGGTGTTGAGAAGTGTGATTTTTCCTGAGGCCTCTCTCCTTGCCTTGCAGATGGCTTCCTTCTCACTGTGTCTTCACAAAGCCATTGTGCATGCACATGCCTGGTTTCTCTTTCTCTTGTAAAAACACCAGTCATATTGGATTTGCATATCCTAAAGTCATATTTTAACAATTACCCCTTAAAGGCCCTATCTCTAAATATAGTCACATGTGAGGTACTAAAGTCAGGGCTTCAACATATGAATTTGAAGGGGTGAGGCATGTTTCAGTCAATAAACTAAACAAGGGGGTCTTATTGGCTTAGTTTAAGCCTCTAGCCATATAAGTAAGAAGAGTACTGAGGAAACAGGAACCCAGAAAACAGTAGAATAGGTTGAAGGTATTTTAAAAGCCTAATAGTTACCATGTGTTCCCTGAGGAGGAATTAAAAGGCAGCTATCCTATGTTGCTAGTTAACTGCAGAGATGGAACGTCTAGTTTTAGGTATTTTGTTTATTGTGGCAAAAAGCCCATAACAAAATTTACCATCATAAACATTTTAAGTATATAGTACAGTACCATTAACTATATTCCCACTGTTGTGCAACAGGCCTCTAAGACCATGTTTTTTTTTTTTTCCTTTTTTTTAATGGCTCCTTGTAGAGCAGGGCTAACGCATAGGCAGTATGACCAGAGTCAGCCTAGAACATTTTTTATCTTGTAAAACTAAAACTCTATACCTCTGAGCAACAACTCCCCTTCTCTTCCTCTGCTCAGCCCCTGGCGACCACCGTTCTACTTTCAGTTCTGAGAGTTTGAGTACTTTCGATACCTCATGTAAGTGACATCATGTAGCATTTGTCTTTTTGTAACTAGCTTATTTCACTTAGCATCATATCCTCAGTATTATAGCATAGGTTTTTTAAAGGCCAAATAATTAGTTTCAGATATTTTTATAAAGGCAACAAAATATTTGCTCACCTTACTTCATATTTCATGTACATCATTTTTTGAATTTGTTTCTCTTCTTACTGAAGTATTCAAAATTGTTTTCAAAGTATGCCTTAGCGTAGCAAGTACTGTGTTATTAACCACATACCAAATAGTGTCTCTGTTTTTGTGTTTTCATGAAACTTGATACTGGATTTACTTTAGGATTTCTTTTCTTCCTTCCTTTCTCACTCCCTTTCTCCCTCCCATTTTTCCTTCCTTTCTTTATTGTATGTTTATTGGGTGTCTGCCTTGTATCAGCTATATGGTAATAATTGAGAATTCAAGAGAAAATCTAGAGCAGCAAAGCTTCTGAGATATTACATATTTGAGAGTACTTTATTATGTCTTCACATTTTAATAGCAATATGGAAAATTATAGATTTTTTCTTTTTTTTCAACGGCGCCTTGCTCTGTCGCCCAGGCTGGAGGGCAGTGGCTCACTGCAAGCTCTGCCTCCAGGTTCATGCCATTCTCCTGCCTCAGCCTCCCGAGTAGCTGGGACTACAGGTGCCCGCCACCACGCCTGGCTAATTTTTTGTATTTTCAGTGGAGACAGGGTTTCACCGTGTTAGCCAGGATGGTCTCGATCTCCTGACCTCGTGATCCACCCGCCTCAGCCTCCCAAAATGCTGGGATTATAGGCATGAGCCACCACGCCCGGCCATGGAAAATTCTAGATTTTAAGTTCTTCAGTATTTTGAAGACTGCTCTATTGTATGCTTATATTGCTATTGAAAAATCTCAAGTCAGTGTAATTCTATTTTTTTTGTATGTGATCTGTTCTTTCTCCTTGTAAATAACAAAAGAGGCTCTCTTTATCTTGTATATTCATAAATGCCACTGTAATGTGTCTCAGGGTGGGTTTTATCTTTATTTCTATGCTGGCATTTTTTCGGCCTTTTCAATCTAAAGTATTTTACATTTAAAACAATTCTGGAAAATATAACTTCATTCTTTCTTTAATTATTTCCTTCTATTCAAGGGCTTTGAGAGATGGTCAAGTAAATAGTGAGAAGTCATTGACCCTCACTCTTGGAATATTGTATTCACATGGTTCAATTTTATAGGCTAGATTTCCTTTTCCTTAAATTCAATCATACAGTGTGATTCTGTAATGAATAATAATGTAAATACTTTCTATTAGCTTTCAGTTTTCAGAATCAACTATAGGCAAAAAAATGAAAGAACTAATCATTGTTAGAGAATAAAATGCAAATTCTATAATCATCGGCAGTAAAATAATAGTGTATCTGACTGAAATTGGGAGGTGGAAGGAGGAAGGAGATGTGGAATGAGGTACAGAAGAACTAATTCTTTCATATTTGTAGTAAAGAGTTAGAAAGTGCTATTTAAAGTTTAAAAAAATAAGTTCGAGATGGTGCATATGCTATTTACCATGACCTGATCACTGTACATTATAATGTATCAAAACACTACTGTGTACCTTATGTATATGCACAATTATTTGTCAATTTAAAAAATAAAATTAAAAAAACCTGAAGAAACAGAAAAGTTAAAAATCAAGTTAAAATTATGTTTATGCATATTACTTGAAGTTTGAGAGTAATCTAACCAAAATAATAATGCAATAAAGATTGAATGGGGAGCGGAGAGTGTCAGAGGAAATGAACTAATTTTTTTATCTTTTCTGGTAAGGAGGACAGCTGATAAAATAAATAGAAGTGTAAAGATTTAAGCATACTGTTTGTAGTCATAAAGATAACCTCAAGAAGAACTAAATCCGGAAATAGTAATAATATGGTTATATATGAGGGGTAAAATTGGGCTTGGGAGACAAGAAGAAAGGCTTGTTTTTCATTTTAAACTCTTCTATACTTTTAAAAGATTTGTTTCTGGCCGGGCGCGGTGGCTCACGCCCATAATCCCGGCACTTTGGGAGGCCAAAGTGGGCGGATCACGAGGTCAGGAGATCAAGACCATCCTGGTTAACATGGTGAAACCCCGTCTCTACTAAAAAAATACAAAAAATTAGCGGGGCGTGGTGGCGGGCGCCTGTAGTCCCGGCTACTTGGGAGGCTGAGGCAGGAGAATGGCGTGAATCTGGGAGGCGGAGCTTGCAGTGAGCCGAGATCGCGCCACTGCACTCCAGCTTGGGTGACAGATAGAAGACTCCGTCTCAAAAAAAAAAAAAAAAGATTTGTTTCTGTGTTTATGTATCTATTACTCTTATGACACAAATAAAATAAAATTTTTTTTTTTAAAAGAAATTTCTGTCAGTCTGGAGAAAGATAAACATCGTTATCTTCAGAATATTTGTCATGTTGTAGTTCTATATCCACATCCTTAAAATATCTGATTATCTTCAGATTACCCATTGTCTAATCATAACAGAAGGCTTATTACTATTTTTTAAAAAAAGAATACTAGATTCATTTGCTCAATTAGGTTAGGGTTTTGTGAACATTTGTACTTTCTATCCAACCTATGGGTCTTAGTTTAAATTTTCCATCTGAATTGCCCTGGAGTGTTACCATGAGGGACAGTTATGAAAGTTCAAAAATAAAATTTAATAGATCTTTATATTTTGAAACTTCAAATAATAGTAGTGGGGATTTATTTTCAAGTGCCTTCTGTTAGGATATTTACTTTTACGTTGGCTTCTTTTGCAATTTATCTTTTTTCATAGTGACTATTCAGTGCATTTACTTCTCGTAGCAGCACTCGTCTAGACATACTTAAAACTAATTGCCTGAGTCCGGAGGTGAACAGTTTTTCTGTTCTATTTGTCCTTGTTCCAGCGAATGAATGTTAGATTGTTGTTTTTTAAGATAGTCCCTAGTCAGCAGGTTAATATGCTTAGGATAGTACTGATCCAAGTGTTTCCTTGGACTAATATTAAAGTAGAATGAATTTTCGAAGACTATTTTTGTCATTAAGAGCTGAAGCAATTTACATAAAGGAAGAAAATAACACAGGATTGTAAAATTCAAATAACGAATCATATGTGTACATAGTTATTTTCTCTCTAATCCTGAATTCCATTCCTTATTGTTTCCTGATAGTGCTTATGATGATTTATGTTTGTACTTATATTTTGGGCTAAGGCATTTAAATTAAATCACCAAAGAAAGGAGAAAGAATATTTGAAGACCATTACCTTCATATCTCAAATCTCAAATTATTCTACTGCTATAAGTCAAATTCACTCAAATCTTTGAGTATCAAAAGGCTACTCTATGTCCAGTTTAATGCAAAGTATTATGGGCAAAACAAAAAAAAATAGTAGTTCCTGTCCTTGGAATGTGAGCTATCTAGCTGTGGAGACAGCATTCAGAGAAATAAACAAATGCAAGATAATAATTTGCAATATAATACCTATATTTCAGTGTTGAAAATGTACATATTCTAACAATGCCGAAATGACAAATATCAAGATGAATCAAAATTGTACAACTTGGTGATGGGCAAAGCATTTTTATCTCAGGCTTAAAGAGATTATAAGGTTTAGATTAATTATTGAGAAGGAAATGTGCATCCTGGAGAAAGCAAGAATTTGGACATGTGGAAAGAGAATGACTTCTTACTTGCTGTTTAGAGTACATGGTGGTGCAAACACAGTTGTGTAATTAGCAGCTTTTGTGTGTGTGTGTTGAAAACTCATGGGCCCTACTTTTGTATGATATGCTGAAATGATGGTGATGGGTGATTGTAAGTTCCCTTATGTTTCCTTTCTGTTATCCCTGGTCCTTCAATAAAGATATGTTACAAATTTCCGTTTCCTCTTTAGCTACAGAGCTGGGATGATGCGCTATGGGGAATTAAAGAGAAGTATCTATCTAATCTTTATGACAGACAATCAATGGGCAGGATTTGTTCTTCTGAGGCCAGATGGTGGTATTGGAAGCAGCCACTGAACAAAGACAGTTATGGTCAGTGGTAGGACAATTGGTGGAGGGTTGTTAGCACAAAGGTAACAGTGCCAGGCTGAGGAAGAAGCTGATGCTAGAACATGAGAGCACATGGAAAGGAGTACTTGGTGACATTATCAGAAATCACTCAGGCACAGTTTGAAAGGGAGCTGCTTTCTAACAATAAATCCAGCAGAGCCTCATTCCAACGTATTTTGGGCCACATTTGTGAACATCATTTATTATTCTGCAGGTTTCCTTTGTATCCCTGCTTGCTTTTTTTTCCCACAACAAATAGGAAAGCTATTAGGTGTCTCAGGTCCCAGTGATATTCTGAGGAGTGGTTAGTATTTTGAATTTTGGGGATAGAAAATATTAACTAGAATTAATATTTGAATTAATACATTAGTTAACTAATATATTCTTAAACATGAGAATAGTAGCAAGGGCTCAGATGCCCATCTACACAATGAGAAGATTAGACAAAACAACCTCTAATTTTCTTTCTTATAAAAATCTTAGCCTACCCTCACTTAGCCATATATGTTTTCCATCCATCCTCCAATGCTAAGGCAAGATCTTTGATTCACTATATCTGTCTGCTCTGTATTCCCAAACTCAACTTTAAAAACGTATTCACAGCCAGGTGTGGTGTCTCATGCCTGTAATCCCAGCACTTTGGGAGGCCAAGGTGGGCAGATCACTTGAGCTCAGGAGTTGGTGACCAGCCTGAGCAACATGGTGAAACCCTGTCTCTACAAAAAATACAAAAATTAGCTGGGCGTGGTGGTGTCTGCTGATAGTCCCAGCTACTGGGGAGGCTGAGCGGGGCAGATCACTTGAACCTGGGAAGCAGAGGTTGCAGTAAGCTGAGATTGTGCCACTGCACTCTAGCCTGGGTGACAGAGTGAGACCCTGTCATAAAAAAAAAGTGTATTCACATGAAGCTGGAAATTAAGTCACTTAACTCAGTTCTCTGGGAGAACATGCTGATTTGAGCTTGCTATTCTTAATCTTTGTGTTAAAATGATTAATACAAATCAAGATTTACTTTCTGTTTTTTTACTTTTTTTTATTACACTTGAAGTTCCAGGGTACATGTGCACAACGTGCAGGTTTGTTACAAAGGTATACATGTGCCATGTTGGTTTGCTGCATTCATCAACTCGACATTTACAGTAGGTATTTCTGCTAATGCTATCCCTCCTCCAGCCAGCCCCGGTGTGTGATGTTCCCTGCCCTGTGTCCATATGTTCTTATTGTTCAACTCCCACTTATGAGTGAGAATATGCAGTGTTTGGTTTTCTGTTCTTGTGATAGTTTGCTGAGAATGATGGTTTCCAGCTTCATCCATGTCCCTGCAAAGGACATGAACTCATCCTTTTTTATGGCTGCATAGTATTCTATGGTGTATATGTGCCACATTTTCTTAATCCAGTCTATGATTGATGGACATTTGGGTTAGGTTATAAGTCTTTGCTATTGTGAATAGCGCTGCAATAAACATACGTATGCATGTGTCTTTATCGTAGAATGATTTATAATCCTTTGGGTATATGCTCAGTAATGGGATTGCTGGGTCAAATGTATTTCTAGTTCTAGATCCTTGAGGAATTGCCACGTTGTCTTCCAAAATGGTTGAAGTAGTTTACACTTCCACCAACAGTATAAAAGCATTCCTATTTCTCCACATCTTCTCCAGCATCTGTTGTTTTTTGACCTTTTAATGATCGCCATTGTAACTGGCATAAGATGGTATCTCATTGTGGTTTTGATTTTCATATCTCTAGTGATGAATGATGATGAACATTTCTGCATATGTCTGTTGGCTGCATAGATGTCTTCTTTTGAGAAGTGTTTGTTCGTATCCTTTGCCCGCTTTTAGATGGGGTTGTGTTTTTCTCTTGCAAATTCGTTTAAGTTCTTTGTATTTTCTGGATTTTAGTCATTTGTCAGATGGGTAGATTGCAAAAATTTTATTCCATTCTGTAGGTTGCCTGTTCACTCTGATGATAGTTTCTTTTGCTGTGCGGAAGCTCTTTACTTAGATCCCATTTGTCTATTTTAGCTTTTGTTGCCATTGCTTTCGATGTTTTAGTCATGAAGTCTTTGCCCAGGCCTATGTCCTGAATGGTATTGCATAGGCTTTCTTCTAGGGTTTTTATGGTGTTAGGTCTTACATTTAAGTCTTTAATCTATCTTGAGTTAATTTTTGTATACGATGTAAGGAAGGGATCCAGTTTCAGCTTTCTACGTATGGCTAGCCAGTTTTCCCAGCACCATTTGTTAAATAGGGAATCCTTTCCCTATTGCTTGTTTTTGTCAGGTTTGTCAAAGATCAGATGGTTGTAAATGTGTGGTGTTATTTCTGAGGTCTCTGTTCTTTTCCATTGGTCTATATATCTGTTTTGGTACCAGTACCATGCTGTTTTGGTTACTGTAGAATTGTAGTGTAGTTTGAAGTCAGGTAGTGTGATGCCTCCAGCTTTGTTCTTTTTACTTAGGATTGTCTTGGCTATGTGGCCTCTTTTTTGGTTTCATTTGAATTTTAAAGTAGTTTTTTGCAATTCTGTGAAGAAAGTCAGTGGTAGTTTGATGGGGATAGCATTGAATCTGCGAATTACTTTGGACAGTATGGCCATTTTCATGATATTGATTCTTCCTATCCATGAGCATGGAATGTTCTTCCATTTGTTTGTGTCCTCTTTTATTTTGTTGAGCAGTGGTTTGTAGTTCTCCTTGAAGAGGTCCTTGATGTCCCTTGTAAGTTGGATTCCTAGGTATTTTATTCTCTTTGTAGTAATTGTGATTGGAAGTTCACTCATGATTTGGCTCTCTCTTTGTCTATCATTGGTGTATTGGAATGTTTGTGATTTTTGCACATTGATTTTGTATCCTGAGACTTTGCTGAAGTTGCTTATCAGCTTAAGGAGATTCGAGGCTGAGATGATGGGGTTTTCTAAATATACAATCATGTCATCTGCAAACAGGGACAATTTGACTTCCTCTTTTCCTAATTGAATACCCTTTATTTCTTTCTGTTGCCTGATTGCCCTAGCCAGAACTTCCAACACTATATTGAATAGGAGTGGTGAGAGAGGGCATCCTTGTCTTGTGCCCGTTTTCAAAGGGAATGGTTCCGGTTTTTGTCCATTCAGTATGACATTGGCTGTGGGTTAGTCATAAATAGCTCTTATTATTTTGAGATATGTTCCATCAATACCTAGTTTATTGAGAGTTTTTAGCATGAAGGGCTGTTGAATTTTGTCGATGGCCTTTTCTGCATCTATTAAGATAATCATGTGGTTTTTCTTGTTGGTTCTGTTTATGCGATGAATTATATTTATTGATTTGCATATGTTGAGCCAGCCTTGCATCCCAAGGATGAAGCCAACTTGATTGTGGTGGACAAGCTTTTTGAGGTGCTGCTGGATTTGGTTTGCCAGTATTTTATTGAGGATTTTCACATCGATGTTCATCAGGGATATTGGCCTAAAATTCTCTTTTTTGTGTGTGTGTCTCTACCAGGCTTTGGTATCAGGATGATGCTGGCCTCATAAAATGAGTTAGGGAGGATTCCCTCTTTTTCTATTGATTGGAATACTTTCAGAAGGAATGGTACCAGCTCATTTTGTAGCTCTGGTAGAATTCAGCTGTGAATCTGTCTGGTCCTGGACTTTTTTTGGTTGGTAGGCTATTAATTATTGCTTCAGTTTCAGAACCTGTTATTGGTCTATTCAGAGATTCAACTTCTTCCTGGTTTAGTCTTGGGAGGGTGTATGTGTCCAGGAATTTATCCATTTCTTCTATAGTTTCTAGTTTATTTGCATATGGGTATTTATAGTATTCTCAGAAGATTTACAGCTTAATTTCATTTTTCCCTGTGAAAGTTGCTTTACTACTTAAAATAAATGAAACATTTATTTTCTCACATAAAAGAAATGTTTGTTTCTACAATGTTTATTTTTATAATGTTTTTTATAAAAAGCATAGTAAAATAAAATATGGAGACAAAAACTATCTACAATTTAAAAACATTATCCAGAATCTCATGTTTTTTAAGTAACAAGAGGTAACTTCTTTTTTACATTTCAGTCTTGATAGTTTCTTATGCTGAGGTAGATAGAGTATATTAACATCCTTAAAGAAATATGATCATTTTACTCAATATTAAAACTGAAGCATTTTCTCTGGTTAGGCAGAAGTTTTGGTGGCTGCTGTGTAATGTGTCTGTGTACTACATTTTATAATTTTATACAATAATTTTCCTATTATTGTGCCTTTAGTTATTTCCATTCTCTGCTATCATAAAAAAACCTATAAAGAATATTTTTAAATACAGATATTTGACCACATATTTAATTATTTCCTTATTTTAGCTACACAAAAGGAAACTAAATGACCCAAAAGTATGAACATGTTTAAAACTCTAGGATGAATCATGTGAGATTTTTCTTCTAGAAGTTTTACCAGTTTATATTCCTACAAGAAAGTATGAGTGCATGTCCTCACATGTCCTTGGAAACACGGAACAAAGAATTTGTCATTTGATGGTGAAAATATTATTTTATTGTAATTGTAATCTGCATTTCTTTGGTTATAGTTTTATATGTTTTGCCTGTTTCTTAAAAGTTGGACTGCTTTTCTTTATTATTACATTTTAAGAGTTATTTATATATACTGAATATAAGTCCTTTATCAAATATGTGATTTGCAAGTGTTTTCCCAGTTTGTGGCTTTTCTTTTTATTCTTTTAATAGCACCTTTTGCAGAGGCTACTATTATACTATATTTGCTGCATTTGCATAACTTTAGTTAAAATTAAAAGGAGCCAGGGAGAGAGAGAATGAGAAAGAGAGAGAGAGAAAGAGGAAGAGAAGGAGGAAAGATAAAAAGAGAAAGAGAGAAGATAGGGAGGGAGACAGGGAGAGAGAGGGAAGGAGAGGTGAGGAGAGAAAAACCTATTCATTTATGTTGGGTTACGTGCTCATCTCTTGGCAGGTTAGGTGCTCATCAAAGACAGGGCACTTTGATATTTTCACCAGAAAGATACAAAATGGGTGCTCCTCAAAATAAACAAGAAAAGGGTAATGGTCGTGTAGTTTTATCTGATGAAAGTTATGGACTCTTTACTAGAAATGGTACAAATGCAATGCATAATGCATTTTGCATACAGATTTTTAAGAACATTTACAAACATGGTCAGGATGAGAACACTGGCTTGATAATTCTGAAAATACAACTCCATAGCCTATAATTTGCTTTATTATAATTGAGAAATCTGGCAGTATCCTAACCTTCATGATTCTGAATTCTTTAGGCTGTGTCTTCAAATGACAGTGTGCTTTTTATTTTTACTTGAAGACATCCTAAGACCTTCCAGGTTTCAGGTTCTTTGTAGGAGTTTGGTCAGCTTGGTGGGAAAAATTATAAAAATTTTAAGGAAAAGACACAAACCTCTTGGAATGCTGGGAGGTTTTGCAAAAGCTTTGGGAAAGGATTTGGCTGAAGGCAGCTGAATTCTCTCAGAGTAGGTAACAAGGAAGCATAAGGGAATTGATCTAGATAAGTTAGTTTACTTAGGCCTTGGAACAGGGCCTTTAATCATCTGCATGCAGGACTGCTCTCTGGGTGGGGGTGGGTGGTGGTGTGACCATGTTAATTACCCACAAGTGTGTTGACTCAAGGCTTTTGTCATTAAATCTGTACTGAATAAATGCCCGCAGGGCTGGCTTGTTGAGGCTGCAGCCATTGTGACTTTTTATGGCATCCTCCTCGATGTCTGTGAGCAGCCCAGTTCCCTAGCTGCATGGCCAGGCAAAAAACCTGTGTCTGCATACGTTTTTTCATCTGTCACTTGACCACTGGGTCAGACCTAGCAGGTGGTGCCCCGTGTGAGGAACGCTGCAACGGATCACAACGGAACCCTCAAAAATGAAGAAGAGACTGCGCAATCAGTAAATCAGTAAGCCATTGGTACTCACTCAGGATTTCCAAGTTCAAGGGAATTGTTCAGGCTAGGGTTTCATCATGGGACAACAGTTATCAGTTCAACAGCAACAGTATATAAAAGTATTGAAACAGCAGCTTAAAGCTAGTGGAGCCTCGGTTTTGCAGGCTCAACTAAGGGACCTAATGCAAACTTGTTTCCCATAACTAATGGTTCCTGGAAGAAGGTACGCTAGACCTAGAGCTCTGGAAACAAGTGGGGAGAAATCTTAAACAACATCATGCACAAGGGCAACAGGTCCCAGTAGCATCTCTAACGTTATGGGCTTTAGTTAGGGTGGATCTGGTCCCACTCTACACACAAGAGCCTAAAAAGGGAAGGGAGGAGGAACCATCAGCTACCTTACCACCTCCTCCTTCTCCCTCAGCCCTGCTGTTTCCGGGCAAAAGTACCAAAGAGAAAATGGAGGTTTTGCCAGAGCCCCCTCCTCCAATAAGTTAGAAAAAAGACAAGAGATATGCTGCAGCTATGGGACCCTGTCTTAGGCAAGTGGCATTAGAAGGGGAGCTCTTAGCCTGCCCAGTAATGCAAGATTGACAAGGCAATCAGGTACGTGAACCCATTTCTTTTTTTGAGACGGAGTCTTGCTCTGTTGCCCAGGCTGGAGTGCGGTGGCGTGATCTTGGCTCACTGCAAGCTCCGCCTCCTGGGTTCACGCCATTCTCCTGCCTCAGCCTCCCGAGTAGCTGGGACTACAGGCACCCGTCACCATGCCCGGCTAAGTTTTTTGTATTTTCAGTAGAGACAGGGTTTCACTGTGTTAGCCAGGATGGTCTCGATCTCCTGACCTCGTGATCTGACTGCCTCGGCCTCCCAAAGTGCTGGGATTACAGGCATGAGCCACCGCACCTGGCCAAACCTATTTCTTTTAACGCTTATAAAGAGCTAAGAAAGAGCATTACAGAAAACAGAGCTGCTAGCCCATTTATGAAAGGAATGATTATGCCATGGCAGACAACTTCCATATGACCCCATGGGACTGGTCAGTGCTAGCTAAAACAACTTTGGAGCCCAGCCAATACCTCCTTTGGAGGGCAGAATATGATGAGTTGTGTGAACAAGAAGCCAACCAGAATCAAGTGGCCGGGCAAGGCATAACAGCTGCTATGCTCCAGGGGAGGGGTCCCCATGCTGATGTACAACAACAACTAAATTTTCATTCCCAGGCCTATGCACAAGTGTCTTTGTGCTGTCTCACGGCTTTGGACTGAATTCCCAGAAGTGGAGTTCAGCAGTTTATAAATGTTTGACAAGGGCCTCAGAGCCAGTTGTTGAATTTATCAATCGGTTAACCCAGGCAATTAAGAGACAAATTAGTCATGCCAAGGCTGCTGATATCTTATTGTTGCAATTGGCTTATGAAAATGCTAATGTTGACTGCCAGCAAGTAATGCAGGCAATCAGAGGAAAGACAGCCACAGTTGGGGAACTTATATGAGCATGTCAACTGGTGAGGACTGAAACACACAAAGCCAAAATATTGGCTATGGCATTAAGACCTCCTAAAGTGAAAAGGGAGAGAAACCCAAATTGTTTCCTATGCAGAGAGCCAGGTCATATGAAGAGGGAATACACCAATAATAGAGACCAAGGTAACTCAAGGAAAGAACCCCCTTCTATATGCCCCCAATGTAAAAAGGGGAAACATTGGGCAAATCAATGCAGGTCCAAATTTAATAAAAACAGCAACCCGATAAGTAACCAGGTGGGAAACCTCATGAGGGGGCCGGCCCCAGGCCCTGCTTCAAACTGGGGCAATGCCAGTAGCTTTCCTCGATCAGATGGAAAGCCCACAGTCCTTCTCTCAGAGCAGCCACCACTGGCAGCACAGGACTGGACTTACTTTGCCCCAATGATTTAGTGCTAAGAGAAGGAGAAGACCCTAAAAGGGCTGCAACTGGTATCTGGAGCCCACTGCCTCCAGGAACAATGGGATTAGTCCTAGGGTGATCAAGCCTATCCAGTAAAGGAATTAATGTGTTCACTGGGGTAATTGATAGTGATTATCAAAGTGAAATATTAGTTGTGATGGAATGTAAAGGTCTGCATATTCTTCCCCCGGATCAAAGATAGCTCAGTTACTACTTTTACCATACTGGGTCCCCAATGCCCATGGAAGGGAATGGGGAAAGGGAAGTTTTGGAAGCACAGGAGCCATAGGAGTATATTGGAATCAATTAATCACTGATCATGATCACCTTAAAAATTGGAAATAAGAATTTTACTGGTTATTGGACACAGGAGCAGATATTTTGATTATTAGTGATCAAAACTGGCCAGAAGCTTGGCCTTGGGTCACTCAGAAACAAAAAATTGTCAGCACTGGAGAAGTGCACACAGCCAAGCAGAACACATGCCCCCTAACATGTTGCGATTTGGAGAGGAGAAAAACAGTTACACAACCTCTAATCATGCCCATCCCTGTTAATCTTTGGGGACAGGACCTATTAGCCCAATAGGGGGTCACTCTGCAGACCCCTTTCTAATAATGGCCACTGTTATTATCCCTCCCCTACCCCTGACATGGCTCTCTCAAGATCCAATTTGTGTAGAACCGTGGTCTTTAAAGGGAGCTAAATTACAAAGAGCCCATAAATTAGTTGAGGAGCAATTAAAAGCCAGCCATATAGAACCATCAAACAGCCCTTGGAATTTGCCCATTTTCATCATTCCCAAAAAGTCTGGTAAATGGAGACTTTTGCATGACTTACGTGCTATTAATGCTAATTTGCAACCTATGAGGCCCCTTCAACAGAGGCTCCCTTCCCCCATGGTAATTCCTCAAGATTGACCTATAATCATTATTGACTTAAAAGACTGCTTTTGTACTATTCCCCTTGCAGAACAGGACAGAGAAAAATTTGCATTTACAATACCAGCTATTAATAATGAAAGGCCAGCTTACTGATTTCATTGGAAAGCCCTGTCTCAAGGGATGCTAAACAGTCCTACCATGTGTCAATATCATGTAAATCAGGCTTTATTCCCCAGTAGAAAAGAATTTCCTAATTGTAAGATTATTCATTTCACAGATGATATTTTACTAGCAGCCCCAATGGAGCCAGTACTTTTAAGTTTATATGCCTCTGTTGTAAAGAATACACATTTAAGAGGTTTAATCATAGTACCTGAAAAAGTACAAATGTCCTCTCCTTGGAAATGTCTTGGGTACATACTAACTTCCCGGTCGGTAAGACCTCAAAAGTTAAATTAAATACTAGCAACTCACACACCTCAAATGATTATCAGAAATTACTAGGTGATATTAACTGGCTTCACCCCACCTTGGGCATACTACTGATAAGTTACAGAACCTGTTTTCTATCTTAAAAGGCAATGCTGCCCTAGACTCTCCTAGGTATTTAACTCTTGTAGCACAAAGGGAAATTGAGGAAGTAGAGCAAGCTATTTCTCAGAGGCAACTAGATTGCATAGATCAACGACATTCAGTTCAGTTGTTTGTTTTTCCCACTAAACATTCCCCTACAGGGTTAATAGGACAGATGGCCCCAGGGCTATGCTTCCTAGAATGGGATTTTTGCTCACATACCAGGACTAAAACACTCTCTCCCTATGTCCAGCTGGTTAGTAAAGTCATCTATTCAGGCCACAGGCGATGCAATCAGTTGCTAGGTTATGACCCTGATGTCATCAGAATTCCTTTGAGTATAAAGCAATTCGAAGCAGTATTGCCCTTTAGGCCTGCAAATAGTACTCTCTGATTACACAAGCCATATAGAGCATGCCCTTCCTGTTGATAAACTACCTCAGTTCTTATCTCATACTTCTGTGGTTTTGCCTACAAAAATACTTCACTCCCCCATACCTAAAGCTTTAATACTGTTTACTGATGGCTCTGGTATACACAGAAAAGCAGCTGTCTGGTAGAGATTGCATAATTCCCTCACTCATTCTGGATTTACTAGCACTCAGAGAGCTGAGGTTGGAGCCTTAATATTGGCCTTGGAAACTTTTTCCACTCAGCCCATCAATATTGTTAGTGACTTTGCTTACTCTGTTTATTACAGAACCTTGAGACAGCCTTCATTAAGTCCACTCTGGATCTCACCCTGTGTGCACTTTTTCTTCAACTTTAGCAATTGCTAGATCAACGTACACATCCTATTCTTATTACACATATTTGGGCCCACAGCTCACTGCCTGGCCCATTGGCTTATGGCAATGATCAAGCAGACCTACAGGTTATGACATCACAGCTTGACCAAGCCACCTAATTGCATCATTTTTTCCACCAAAACTGGAGAAACTTATCTAAACAATTTCAACTTACCCAGAGACTAGCTAAACAAATTATCCTGCAGTGCCCAGATTGCCAGCTCACAGGCACATCCCCTCCTTCAACAGGTGTTAATCCTGGGGGACTAGAACCTAATCAGTTATGGCAAACAGATGTTACACATGTCCCTGAATTTGGAAAACTTAGATATGTACATGTATCCATTGATACCAATTCCCACTTAATTAGTGCTCACCTGATATGTCATTAGACATCTTTTAACTTTTGCATTTATGGGGCGGCCCACAAAAATTAAAACTGATAATGGTCCGGCTTATGCCAGCTCACAAGTTCAACAACTTTGTCACACGTGGAACATCCAACATTCCACAGGCATCTCGTATAACCCCCAAGGACATGCCATAGTAGAACGTACCCAACCCACCCTTAAAAATATGCTCAGAAAACAAAAAAGTGGTAATGTGAGTAAGGACCCTGCAACACTATTAGCACAAGCCTTATTTACTCTTAATTTTTAAAATTTAGATGATAAATTTAAATCAGCTGTAGGAAAGCACTTTGCTAAAACCTCTCAAACATAAAACCTGCAGTTTTATGGAAAGATGCAAACAGTAATGTATGGTGTGGTCCAAATAAATTGTTAACGTGGGGAAGAGGATATGCTTGTGTTCGCACCCCCTCAGATCCTCTTTGGATTCCAGCATGATGCATCAAACCATACCATGGTGTGGCTAGGACCCCTTGCTTTGTCTGCAACCTGTACCTGCTACACTCTATTGGGCTCATCTCTTAGATCCGCCTTTCTTCCGCCCCGTCACCTGGGCAGACACCCCCTTCCCAGCCTCTAATAATGTAACTGCTTGGCTGGGAGGGATAGATTTACCCCCAGTTGGATCCATCATTAATGGCACACATTGGACTAAGGTGTCAGTAACACTACATATCACTCCACTATCCTCCCACTGTGTGTAAGTTATAAAAATTCTAACTGTTACTATGTACCTGCCCAAACATAATTATGGCTACATCATGGCAAAGGAAGTGCTTTAACAGTCTTAGTTTCAGGAGTCCTCAAACTGGGCAATGCAGTCAATGCTACTTTCCCAAACATTCCTTCCTGTGCTAAAGAACAAAGCCGGGAAAGCAATGGATTCCACTTTAGCTGGGAGGTGTCTCACAGGGTGCATGCCCATAGCCTCCAGCTAGGCAATTATAACGTCTTAGACTGGAGCCCCCACAGCCATTTGCAGGGCGATCGCACTGATGTCCGCATCTATTATGGCATCAATGACAGTTTCGTATCCATGTCCCATTCCCCTATAATTTGGGCCGATAGGGGGATGGGATATCCCAGACCCCAAGTAGAGTCCATGCCACCCCAAGACATTTTATGGCACCTGGGACTTCTTAGCACCCCCCCTTAACACCTGGGATGGGACATATCATAATTCCAGTCACAATTACACTATGACCTTTTTTCATAATCACACTTATCAGTGCCTGATTTGCACCACCCATCCGTACGTTTTCCTTGTGGGGACCAATATTTCCATTACACCCCAAAACTCCATGTTTGTGACCCAAGTTCAGGGACAGGCTTGGTATGCCTCTTGTATCACTAATTATAATATATCTAATTTAAATATTACTAGTGTCATGGTATTGAGGAGACAATCTGAGGCTTTCCTACCAGTCAATTTAACACGCTATTAGCAAGGTTCCTCTGCCCTTGCCACCTTAGAATGTGCCTTGTCCCAGGTCAGACACAAAAGATTCATAGTTACACTTATAGCCTTTATAGTCTCAGCCATAGTCATCCTAGCAACTGCCAGTGTTATTGTAGCATCTATTACGGAATCAGTACAAACAGCTACTTTTGTAGATAATTTGGTCAGAAATGTGTCTAATGAACTTCTCTTACAGTGGGGTATAGATCAAAAGATTCTCACATGTCTGCAAGCCCTCAAGGCTGCCTTGGAATATGTGGGGGAGCAACGAGATGCACTGGCCTTCCAACAGCAATTGAACTGTGACCAGGAGCTTAAGCACATCTGTGTCACCTCTCTACTTTGGAATCAATCAATACATAGTTGGGATGAGGTGAAACAATACCTCTGGGGAACCTTTCATGATAATTTAACAGCAGATGTAAAGTAACTTAAAACTAAAATTCTAGCATCCCTAAACGCCATAGATCTACATGCCCAACAAACAGGCATATGGAAGGGTGTGTGAGATCATCTCTCCTGGATAGACCCCTATTCCTGTGGGGGGATCACTCCTTGATTGGAGAAGAATGTTGCTAATTATACTCACGTTTGTCTTATGTTATTTGCTAATTCTGGCATGCAAAGTTGCAGTACGAGTTACAACCGCTGCACCTGACAAACCTGTTGTTTCACACATTTGCTCTCTTCAATCAACTAAACCTGATGCAAAAGACAGAAAAGGGGGAGATGTAGGAGTTCAGTCAGGGTTGTGTGGGAAAAGTTATAAAAATTATAAGGAAAAGACGCAAACCTTCTTGGAAGGCTGGGAGGTTTTGCAAAAGCTTTGGGTAAGGATTTGGCTGAAGGCAACTGAATTCTGTCAGAGTAGATAATAAGGAAGTGTAAGGAAATTGATCTAGATAAGTTAGTTTACTTGGGCCTCAGAACCTGGCCTTTAATCATCCATGTGCAGGACTGCTCTCTCTGGAAGGTGGGTGGGGGGTGACCATGTTAATTACCCACAAGTGTGTTAACTCAAGGCCTTTGTCATTAAATCTGTACTTCATAAAATGCCCGCAGTGCCGGCTTGTCGGCTTGTCGAGGCTGCAGCCGCTGTGACTCTTCACGGCATCCTCTTGGAAGTCTGTGAGTGGCCCTGTCCCCTAGCTACACGGCCAGGCAAAAAAACCTGTATCTGCATACATTTTTTCATCCATCACTCAACCAGGGTCTGCGAGTCAGACCCGGCAGTTCTTTAAAAAACATTTATAGGTATCACTGTTTAGTTTTATTTTTGATTCCATTAATTCTAAATTTGTACCATGTTATCTCTTTCATAAATCACATTCATATTCATTTTCTTCATTATTCTATGTGTGTTCCTCAAGTTTATCACTTGTTTCACTGATCAATTTTTTCTGTAATATTTCAATAATGTATTGCTTCTGTCCGTTGAATAGTATTGAATGAGTTATATTATTCAAATAATGATTTGAATAGTTCTTCAGTTTATCTTTTCACTCTTACTTAATAGTTGCTAATATCACTGAGATCCACTCTAAAACTACTAGTTTGGATCTCTGGATATTGCAGAGAAAGACTTGACACAAGCCAAATTTGAATATTTATTTACATACCTTAGGCTGTGCATATTGGTTTACAGCACTTCATCCTTATGTAACTGTAACTATATTGACCACCTCCTCTGAAGCTAGGACAAGGCTCAAAATCATATCTGGTTTTTCTTTCTATATAATATTTTTTTAAACCAGCTTCTCTCTAAATACAGTTATATCCCCAGCCAAAGGAAATTCCTCTGTCCACTTTTCTTCTCATACTAGATGCAAAACTTCTCTTAAGAACATCATATGACTGTAAAACAAAATATTTATTTTCAAGGTATATGTGATGTTTAATTTTATGTGTCAACTTGACTTGATTAAGGGCTGCCCACATAGCTGGTAAAACCTTATTTCTGGTTGCACGTGGTGGCTCATGCCTGTAATCCCAGCACTTTGGGAGGCCAAGGTGGGCAGATCACTTGAGGCCAGGAGTTTGAGACCAGCCTGGCCAACATGACGAAACTCTGTCTCTACTAAAAATACAAAAATTAGCCAGGCGTCATGGTGCATGCCTGTAATCCCAGCTACTCGGTGGCTGAGGCACGAGAATTGCTTGAACCTAGGTGGCAGAGGTTGCAGTGAGCCGAGATTGTGCCACTGAACCCTAGCCTGGGCAACAGAGCAAGTCTGTGTCTCAAAACAAACAAACAAACAAAAAAACCAAAGCACCTTATTTCTGGGTGTGTCTGTGAGGGTGTTTGCTGAAGATATTAGCGCTTGAATTGGTAAACTGAGTAAAGAAGATCCTCCCTCACCAAATCTGTTGAAGCCCTGGATAGGACAAAAAGGTGGAGAAACTGAATTTATTCTCTCTTCTTGGGATATGCATCTCCTCCCTTTGATGCTGTTAGACAGCAGTGCTCCTGGTTCTTTGGCCTTTAAAGTGAATTATACCACTGGCTTTCCTGGGTCTCCAGCCTGTAGACAGATCATGAGACTTAGCCTCCAGAATCATGTGAGTCAATACCTATAATAAATCCCCTCATGTTCTATGTATATCCTATCGATCCTGTTTCTTTGGAGAATCTTAATACATTATATTATATCTGTTATTACTCCTCATTCATCTAGTCCATTGGTCTTCACCATTTTGTGCAGTGCTCCATCATATCTGATCTTTTGTGTGCCACACTTAAAATTTTCTTAAATTTTTCTGTTTTGCGTCTTCATTCTACAACACCTCAATAAGTAAAATGACAAAAGATTCTCCTTGATAAGAGGTAACATCTTCATATACCTGTAAGGTCTATTCTGGGGTAAGATTTACTTCCCTCTTTTTACTTTCATCTTTTCCAGTTTTCTCAATATTGTCATTTAATTATTATTTAAAAATATTTTTCTATATCTTATTCAGATTATTTATTGATCTGTGGAGAACTGGTCTTAGAGGATGCTGTTTTAAAAATCCTTTCCAGCTGACTTTTGCTTGCAGATTGCACTCTGAGTTAGAAATATCTCTCTTAAAATCATGTTGTTAAATAACTGCTAGTCTGGGGAAGCTTTCATTTAGTTTGCCTAAATTATAAAAAGTGGATCGAGTTGGTTGGAATTCCCTTAAATGCACAATTTTAGTTTATATGGATCTTTCTTAGTTGTGACCCATTAGAATTAGAGTCTGCAGAAAGTCCAAACTCTATACTCTCATAAGAGGCTTATTCTTATTGTTAGTATTTTAGATTTTATTATAGATTTTTTTCTTCTCTTGATGCTTTCATGATACTATTTTATTAATTAATTTTACAAATTAAAATGTGAAAATGTTTTGGGGTGCAGTTTTAATGTTTTTATTTTGTTTTTACAGAAGGGAAAAGATTTCCTATTTTAATATACTTTTGAACATGTTATCTTTGTGTTTAAATAATATGAGAGTGCCGTGAACATGAATTAATTAATCTTGATTCAGTTTATTTTGCTTGCTAAAAATAAGACTGCAAACCAGAAATAATGTCAGTGTTTATTTCAGGATATTCCTGCAGGTCAGTTTTATCAGAAACAATAGTCTGCTTACCTGGGAAGAAACAGTTTGTTAAATAAGAGCTTACTTATCAAAGTTCATTTAAAAATGCTCACATTGGTCAGGTACAGTGGCTCATGCCTGTAATCCCAGCACTTTGGGTGGCCCAGGTGGGCAGATCACTTGAGGTTAGGAATTCAAGACCAGTTTGGCCAACATGGTGAAACCTGGTCTCTACTAAAAATACAAAAATTAGGCTGGGTGTGGTGACTCACCCCTGTAATCCCAGAACTTTGGGAGGCTGAGGCGGGTGGTTCACGAGGTCAAGAGATCGAGACCATCCTGGCCAACATGGTGAAACCCCGTCTCTACTAAAAATACAAAAATTAGCTGAGTGTGGTGGCACGCGCCTGTAGTCCCAGCTACTTGGGAGGCTGAGGCAGGAGAATAGCTTGAACCTGGGAGGCAGAGGTTGAAGTAAGCCGAGATCACGCCATTGGACTCCAGCTTGGTGACAGAGCGAGACTCCTTCTCAAAAAACAAACAAACAAAAAACAAAAATTAACCAGGTGTGGTGGCAGGCACCTGTAATCCCAGCTACTAGGAAGGGTGAGGTAGGAAAATCACTTGAACCCGGGAGGCGAAGGTTGCAGTGAGCTGAGATCTTGCCATTGCATTCCTGCCTAGGCAACAGAGCGAGACTCCTTCTCAAAACAAAACGAAACAAAACAAAACCCCTCACATTGCTGTCTACCAAATTGAAACTATTCTATCACAAACTATGTTCATTTTGAACCAATTTCCTGCCTCAAAAATCTTGCCCTAAACACCTAATCCCAGAAACAATTTTGATTTCTCTTTTCTGAGACACTGCTAAGATTCTTTCAAAGGGATGCTTTCCCTGTTATAGTGAGTTCAAATAAATTTATTTGATTACCAAGTTGCTTGGTGAGATATTGGTGGGTTCAACAATCAGAAACACTAATGTCTAATAGAACTTTATGCAATCATAGAAACATCCAATATGGTAGTCATTAGTCACATGTGCACTTAAAATATGACTAGTCAACTAAGGACCTCAGTTTTAATTTTATTTAATTTTAACTGCTTTAAATTTAAATTGAAGTATACATACACACCTAAGGTCTCTCATATTAGAGAGAGCAGATCTGGAAGTTCCACTGACATTCAGTTGAGTTCTCACCTCACTACTGTGGTTGAGATTTTTTAGTCAGGAACAGTACTTCCACTGAGATTCTTTCACCTTCCTGCCGGAGAGGAAGATTTTGATCTGTTTTTTTTTTCCTTTTGTCATGAAATGCTAAGTTTATATTCTCTTCCAGGAAATACAATTTTGGAGGAGATTGTATAATAATGCTTTCATTATTTTCTGATCAGATTTGAAAGCTGTTATCTTTGTTGAAAAATCAGCTTTGTTATTCATAACTCTACTCTTTATCTTTGTCCTTGCTCTGTGTGTGTGTGTGTGTGTGTTTTTGTCTGTGTGTGACTCTGTAAGAAGAAAGTGAATAAGCATAAGCCCGAATAAGTCTGTTTCTCAGAACAGACCCAGGGACTGAGGACTGCAGAAAGTTTTCACTTAAATCAGTTTCTTTTGGAGAAATTTTGCCTTACATTATTATCAATTAGTGTCTAATGAGAATTTTCCTTAGTTTTGTCTTGTTTGCTTCCCATGAGAACTTGATTCTGGAAGATATCTCTCATCCAAAGTTTCCATCTACACAGACTTTGAAGTCTGTATAGTTGACTGATTCTAAGGGAGAGGTTGTGTGATGTAGAAGGGTAAAGGCCAACCATTTGAGGGCCCAAGACAAAAGGTGCATCAACAATACTGTTGATGGGTTGATGCTAGAATTCTCATGAGTTTATCTCATTTTAAACTAAGTCTGTGCCTCATTCTGGTCAATTCTCCTAACTCTTACATATTTTTACACATCAATTTCTGTAAATATCTTTCTAAATGACCTGATTTCACCTTGAATAATTTAGATCATAGTCACTTTGAGAAACTTTCGATATGAACAAAATTGTTTATTTGAGAAGCACTTTGGAACAGAAAGGGAAAAAAATCCCAAACATCCAATGGCGGACATTGATTTTATTGTTATAATGAAACTCCCAAAAGAAACTCTGATTCCAAAATTGCTTCCTTAAAAGTTTCTTTGGCTAATAAATGTGAAAAACTTGAAATTTCTTTCTTTTAGATAGTCCCAATCAGAACTTGAACTTAATGGATTTTGTCTTACTGTCTTGCTTCATCTTTTGCTTTTCCATTATACTCTACCACTACTCCTCTTTCTGATCTGGTTTTCTTATCTTTTGGGTGTCCAGAAACCCCCAAAGCTGACCCATCTCTGAAAGTTAAATTCCCTTTAGAAAAGGCAAATCTTTTCTGGTTGACTTTAAGCCCTAAGACTCATAAAAAGACTAGCGTTAGATCCTTTTGTAATTTATAAGCATCATGGTTAGGATTTAATGCTCATATGTGAGCTGAGCCTCCCTCAAACATTGTTAGGACATCAACACAATACCAGTCTGATATGGAAAAAAAAAGACTAGTATTAGATGAAAGTCATTGTCAAAGACTTTCATACCTGTAGATGAGATAGAAATTTACAAAAGCATTTAGAATAGCTTTAAAAACATAAAACCCAGGTTTCTGGATCAATATCAATTGGTTTATATGTTAAGAGTAATCTTATATACAAAAATTGGATTAAAAAAGGACTAAATGGGCCATAAGAATTACTACTTAAGAAGCCTCTGAATTGCACAGGAAACCAGAATGATTTACAAAAGCTGTGGAATTGCTAAATTAAAAATTCTCCCTTTTAGAGCAGTTTTAGTTTCACAGCAAAATTAGTAGAAAGTAAAACAAACAAACAAAACTCTCCCAATTATCTTTTTCTTCAAGTCTTTTAGAATTCCCCTGTTGATAATCAGATTATAGATTTTTAGCTAAACTAAACTTTGACTTTCCAGTATTTTTGTATCTACATGAAGCCCAGGTTGAAGATCTTCATGCTAGATTCTTTATGGGCAAAAATTCTACTGATATTTGCAGAATTGTTGGGGATGAACTAGTTAAGGTTCAGATTGATCCAAGGCTTTTATAATATCCTCCAAAACCAGAAGCTACGAAAGTTCTCAAGTCAATAGCTAAAAGCCAAGTAGGCAAAGAATATTAGTCATACATTATACTGGTCTTTGTACCACTCCAATTCATTTAGCCAAGAAAATGAATGGGTGAGGATATAGATTGTTCAGGACCTTAAGCCCAAATAAAAGTCAATCTCTGCTTTCCTGTGGTACCAAATCCCAATACTATTTAATCTTCAATGCCATCATTATAAACTTTGTTCTGCTTTTTTTAGTGTCCCTTTAGATTAAAAATAGTCAATACCTGTTTATTTGTTTGTTTTCTCCTAGGAAAGTTAAAATATTTACCTGGGCAGTTGAAGGTTTATGGAGTCACCCTTCCATTTTTCACAGGTGCTTAACAAGGAACTTCAGTACTGCAAATTTTTCTTAGTATGTTGACTAACTTTTGCTATGTTCTAAAGACAAGTTGAGCTTGAAGGCTGATTTTGATTTACTTAATGTTCTAGCTCAGAATGGTTATATCATTTCCTGCCCCCCAAAATTACAATTTTGTCAAAACACAGTGCATTATCTGGGACATAATTTATCTTAAGGGGAGTACATTCTTCACCACTGATAGGTTACAAGCCACTCAAAATTTTCCTAGACTGATTACTAAGAAATAATTAAAAGGTTTTCTAGTTTTCACTGGCACCTGCAAGCAATGGATTCCTAGCTTTTAAAAAATCATCTCATCTTTATGTGACTTATTTAGTCCTTGGTAGCTGAAACTGTTTTCTGGGAATCTATATATTAATAGGCATTTTGTGACATAAAATTACGTCTTCAAAAGCCTCAGACTATGGGCCTTTCTAATTATAAACTCTCTACCTATTTGTGTATGAATGCTCTGGGAAATCCCTTAGTGTTCTGATCCAAAGCCATGGGAATAATCACAGACAAATTACTTATTTCAGCCTTTCCCTAGATCCATAATCTTGTGTAAGCAGCAGCAGCAGCCAAACAAGTGGAGGCTTCACTGACTGAGTTTTAGGATCTTTCTTAAGCTTGATGTTTTTTTTTTTGCGGTGTGTAATCTGTGTTACTTACTGAAAATACATCCCATTTCTCAGCAAGCAGGCTTAACTCCTGAAATTTTATTACTTTCTCCTTCACCAATTCTGTCCATTTTTGTAATATTTTAAATCCTACTAACCTCTTTCATTACCCAAAGGAAGGTAATCCCACAATTGTTTAGCTTCGTTCAATAACTGACTATGTTTGAACAGGTTTATTATAAATTGCCCTAGAATATTCTGATTCAGTAATGTTTGTTGATGGGTCATCTCTTACCTCTGAAACTGGAAAATATCAGGCAGTGTATTCCATGACAAATATCAATTCACTCCTAAAATATACCTAATCAGAAGTAAATTTAGCCTTGATGGTAGAATTTTTTGCACTTGCCAGAGCTTGACAATAGCCAAAGACAAGGTTGATTTATACCCTCAGAGCAGGTAAGCCACTGGATAAGTCTACAATTTTGGAATGCTTTGGAAACAACATTTTAAAAATTGTAGTGTCTGTCTCTATATATTACTCTATATCTGTATATATAACCGTGGCATTAAGTACATACACAATGTTGTGCAACAATTACCACTATCTATTTCTAGAACTTTGTCATCATCCCAAACAGGAACTCTGTACCCACTAACTGTTCCCCACTGCTCCCAGCTCTTGTAACCTGTATTCTACTTTCTATAGCTATCAATTTCCTTATTCTAAGTAACTCATATAAGAGGAATTACATGGCATTTGTTCTTTTGTGTTTGGCTTATCTCGCTAAGCATAATGTTTTCAAGGTCGCATGTATCAGAATTTCATTCTTTTTTTATGTCTGATTAGTATTTCATTATATGTCTATACCACATTTTGTTTATCCATTCCCCTGTTGATGGACACTTGGGTCGTTTCCACCTTTTGGCTATTGGGAATAATCCGGCCATGAACATTGGTGTACAATATCTGTTTGAGTCCCTACTTTCAATTCTTTGGAGTATATACCTTGGAGTGGAATTTCTGGGTTATATGGTAATTCTATGCTTAACTTTTTGAGGAACAGCCAAACAATTTTCCAGAGTGACAGCACCATTTACATTCCCACCAGCAATGCATAGGGGTTCTAATTTCTCTACAACCCCACCAACACTTGTTATTTTCCATACTTTTGACAACAGCTATCCTAATGGGTGCAACGTATTAATAAATGTTTTTAATCTTAGCAATTAACCATTGCTATGGAATTGTGTCCCTCCAAAATTCAAATATTGAAGTTCTAACGCCTAATATGATGGTTTTTGGAGGTAGAGCCTTTGGGAGGAAATTAAGTTTAGATGAGATCATGAGGGTGGAGACTTTTTGATGGGATTCATGCCCTTATAAAAAGAGGCACCAGAGACCTTGCTTTCTCTTCTCTACTGAGGAAGGCCATGTGAGCACACAGAAATATGGCTCCATCAACATGCCAAGAAAAGAGCTCTCACCAGAACCTGCCTATGCTGGCAGCCTGATTTTGGATTTCCAGGCTCCAGAACTGTGAGAAAATAAATTTCTATTGTTTAATCCACTCGGTCTGTGGTATTTTGTCATGATAGCATGAGCTGACTAAGACCCCAGATAGAAATGGTTAACAGATTAAATAAATTTTAAATATTCTAGAACTTCCTGACAGTTGGCTATCATAAAAGTTGAAGCTATGCAAAAACATATAGCATGGAGTTAAAGGAAATGCCTACATAATCAGTATGGCAGGCAGATAGCCCTCACTAAGATTCTGGGCACTATGATAATCCTTGAAGCCAATTCTTTTGAAAGGTTGAAATAAGCTATTGTAGAATGCCAGTGATTGACCCCAGAAACTGAAAAGAGTTACTGGAAAAAATCTGGTTGTAAATTTCAAGAGGATATTCTCTGACACTTTAGAGTAGATACTTGATGATACCAGAGGACCTCAACTGAAACCTTGCCAAAAATTTTACATGAAATCATCTACTACAACAAGGACAAATTGATCACTATAGTCAGTCAATGTAAGTGAAGAAATTTTTACTAGGATTGCTGAGGGTGTCTCTGGTAGATGTCTATAAATGTACGATATGGACAAGAACCCATACCAATTCGGACAAGAACTTCGTGTCAACGTCTTCAAAGAGTCTATATAACCTACTTTCTTCTATGGGTTTTGAATATGTCCTTATCAGTATTTGCTAATGCTTAGAGTGAGCTGAAATATTTACTTGCTAGAGAGCTGTGGTTCTGAGAGTATCAAACACATTGTTGTGTTCTCAACCTGGAATTCCAATCCCTCCAGTGATACAACACTCATCTTACTAGGACTGTTAGAAGATTTTGTAAAGCTTTGTACTTACTCAGAAACTTCATTGTGCCTATCACTCTCAAACCATAGGTAAATTAGGTAGGGCTAATCATATTTTAAAACTCAAACTTGCAAAATCATCTGACATTTTTTGTCTCCCTTGCCCAAGGTTATTCACTCTGGCCCTTAAGACAATGAAGTTAACACCTCCCAGCAGTCATTGCCTCTTACCACATGGACTTTTAAAAGGTCATACTATGAGACTGGCTATTTCTTTACTAATTTTGGACTGTACTTCAGATATACATCTCAGATTAATTAGACTCAGAAATGAGCTAGACTCAGAAAGGGAAAATGTGGAATGCATTTAATACCTGTCTCTCATGTTTACAGACTTTACCAACAAGGTTTCCTATGTAGGTAAATCTTTGGATTCTTTATAAAATATAACATTTCATCTATTTCATGACATCCTTACTGCATGTTCTCCTATCTGGCACCTAATTATCTCTAAAGAGTGTCAAAACCATACAATACAATTTAGCGTCAATGAAGGGGTATTTTGGCCGAGAGCTTGTTATTTGGGAAGCTCCCTACCACAGGTATTGAATCTGTGGCACAAAAGCCTTTTGAATATTATCAGTAACTTAGACAGGAGCTTATCTTTGTAAATTAATGCTTGTGTCAGGCTACTCAGGTAGTCTTTGCTATCACTCTGGCTACATTTTGATTGCTATTTTTCCTTCTCAGAAAAAGGTAACTACACAGCTTGTTTCAAAGAAGAAAATAACTATGTCTTTACTAAGATATGAAACCGTAACTACACAGGGAAATTATAGATGGTTTTCTTCTGCTTTCAAGCCTCTTTATATCACTTTTTATTAGAGGCATGGATGATGGGGAAAATATTAACATGTTATGGTTCAGATATTGAAAGGAGAGTTAGACAATGTCAGTAAGTTCATAGAAATCAATAGAACAACTTCTCTGTTCAAAAATAGAGTCCATAGACATAAGTGGACTGTAGAGGTATTATGTGTACCATTTTAGGAAAAAGAATATTCTTTTTACCCCCATAGATATTTCTGATAATTTTAATATTGATAAGAAGGTCCAGGAAACCAATAAGAACATTATAAAATTAGGTAATTTGACTAAAATGCACATATTTAGTCTATAGGCTTTTTGGTGGATGCAGTCTGTTTTCTGGATTTAGTTTAGTTTGGCCACCCCTGGCTCTTGGCTTATGTGTAGATTACAGAATCTGTTCATAGTATTCTTGGTATTTCACAGTGGTACTACAATGTTCAAATGTGTAATCTCTAGCATCTTAAATGCTTTTCATAACCACTGTTCCATCAAATGATAATCCAACAAAAAGAACAAGGAAACCTGGTGTATGCAGTGGTTGAAATGACCACCAACAGAATTCAGGTATGTAATGATGACTGTACAAACATCTATGTAATCATCTCCCCCATGTGATAACCATCTGTTTTCCAGATCAGGCTGAAGAATGACCATGATGGAGAATTGAGAAACAAGACCATCTGCATCAACAGGAATTTGGTAAGATTTTAGACTATGTCGACCTGACCTAGTTGTTTGTTCCAGGAAAATTTTGTCTGGGAGAGATAAAACTATAAACCAATATATAAATTCACTGTTTGTTTCAGAACTTTCCTACAGACCAATTTATTGGACATAATCTGGTGACCTGGGCATCTGGTGACCTGGGAGAACTGCTCACTTATCAAACAAGGGCTTATTTTTTAAGATTTGCTTCAAGACCCTCACTGTGCTATGTCTACTAATCCTAAATGAATATACCAAAAACTTTTATCCAATCCTAATCAGTTCCCTGTCTTGAAAGACCTACCTTAAATCACCTGGGTTCAGACCTCACCATCTTATAACAATCTCAGTGCTGATAGCCTTCTTTTGAGATACTGCTAAAACTTTCTCAAGATGGTGTTCTCCTTTAGTGCAGAAATTCCAAATAAAGTTGGTTTTGCTATATTAACAAGTTGTTGGGTGACATTTTTGGAAGTTTAGCAAAAATCTCTATAAACATCTTTAGAAAAAATAAGGTTACCATTTCTTATAATGTTTAGATTTAATATGTTGAGGAGATTACTTCAGAAGTTTAGAAAAACTACTGATTTTAGAGATTGAAAAAAAATTATTATTGAATTTTTAAAATTTCTCTTTAAAATTTATTCAAAAAGCAAGTATATTATGAAAGTTGAATAAACCAGAGCTGTTGGCATGTGAGGGTTAAGTAGCATTGTTTGTAGTTGTAAGACGTTATTTCTACACATTAAAAAAAAAAAGTTTCAAGTTGTAATTTAGGTGAAAAAAGAATCAATTGCTGTGGCTTATTCAATGCCCAAAATTTCCAAATGAAAAATAAGAAAAAATGTGCAAGCTATTGTTGACAATGTGAAGAGAGGTATTGGGAGCAAAATGAAAAGAACTTTAAAACATTGAGCATTAGAGGGTATTTAAAAGAAAGATAACATTTGGGAAAAGGTTTGATTGAGATAAAGTTGGTTAAAATTTGTCCTGTATCTATCAAATTGAGTATTGATTTTGTGCATGTATATATTGTGCTGACTGAAATTAAAATGATAAAACTTAGAGATTTGGAAACTAGAATAGGGGAAAAAAAGAGGGCTGTAGGGTGACCTAAATTTCAGTTAGATACTACTGACTGCAAGTAGTAAAGGGACTATTTAGATTTCAAAGGAAAAATAAGAAATTTAGCTAGGTGAATTAATACTGTAACTGACTTTAAATCAAAAGAATATGGATTATTTACATTGTACTTATTTGAAATAGGAGTTATATAAACTTACTCTTTTATTTTGATTTTGTTTACGCTGTGCCACTCCAAATGTTCCGACTGTGTTAGGAAAGAAAATGATTCAGAGAAACTCTGATTGATTAAAGCAGCATTATGAGTAGTATTCTGGGTGTTTTAGAAACTAAAACACATTAATAAAACTTATTTTTTGAAAAAGAGTATAAATTTGGTCATTTACTGGCTTAGTAGTGATTTTCATTTTAGTGCAATTATGCTTATATTCTTCCTGAAATATCATTGGATATTATCATAACATACCACTTTTATAATCTCTGACTCTCAAAATATCTTTGAGATAGAGATAAAAACTTGCTACACTTTTAATGAAGTGATGATCATTGAAGTCAATAGGTTGTACATATTATACACAATAGAAGCGTTTTGCAAATCCCTCTCTGTATTTTCTTCATTGTTGATATATGTTATCAACAAGAGTATTATGCAACTGGAAAGCAAAATTCCTCTTTATAGATGCCACATTTTAGGGACTGTAAACAGAATCACAAATCAGTGGTACCATATGCTGACAATACTTCTTTGGTAGAAAGCATCTCTATTTGCCATGATTATGAAGAATCACACTTTTTGTGTTTCAATACTTGAGAATAATTATAATAACCAGCAACTCAAGCTTTTTTAAAAAAATGTTTGTTTGTTCTGCCTTCTATCCTGTCATGTCATAGAATGGTTGCTTGTTCCTAGTAGGGCCACATACTGCTTCATTTATGATCAATGTGACAGAAAGCCTTCCTTCCTACATCAGGATCAAAAGTCTTCCTTTTGAACCACTCAGATGAGTTGACACAGTGTGCTAATTGGCTTAGGCCTAGAAAATCTGGTCCAGTGACTGTGGGATGAAGAATGGAATTACCAATTACCTGGGGCCAGTGTAGGACTCATTCCTAGAACTGGGATCATTAGCTCCTACCCATGGAGCTAATGGTGCCAGGAATGGATGTTGGGAGAACAATCACAACATAATACTGCCTGTCTCCAAACTGATGTCTATGATGCTTCTCTATAATTAAATGTTGACCTTTCTCTTCTTTCTGTTTATTGAAATACTCATCTTGTAAGGATAAGGTAAAGATTTATTTTCTTGCTACAAGACACCTTCTTTGACTCTTAATCCTCATTATCTATTTTCTCTGTTGGACTAATATTTTATACCATATAATATACAGCTAGATTATATGCTGCCATTTAAAGTTGACTCAGCTAATTTTTAATAGGTTTAAGGCACAAATAAATAACAAAGAATACTCTTATTTTTACCCTGCACTTGTTTCATGTGAGTACCTTTTGTTTTTCAAGCCAGGTTGTACACTCTTTGTGACAGCTGTTTTTCCCTTGTTTTCTGCTGTGCCTTACAGAGTTAGGTTCAGAGTAGAAATGGCAGACTATTATTGTCTAATTCTTAATGGTCCAAAACACAGAACTGCTAATTATTGCTATGTTGTTGGTCATTAAAATTTTAAAGCTTAATTTTAGGTATTATATTTGGTTTTATCTTAAAATGATATTAATTTTAGTTTAAAAAACCATTAAAATTTTAATTTAATCACATAATAGTCTTAGCTTCTTATGTTTTAACTAAATATATATTACAGAGGAATGAAGACTATATATGAAATTATTTTAAATTGCAAAAAGATTCTCAGCTGTGCAAGAACTGTTACTCAGAGTCTCTTGAGTGCTTAATAAATATTTTGTCTCATTACTGTCTAGTTCATGTTTGCTTATCCATTGGAAAATTAAAATAAATCTCCTAATTTTCATAATGATTTTATAATATATCAATCTTCTTTATAACTCCTCCGAGAAAGGATGGTCAATGAGGCATTCTGTAAAAGAAGGTTAAAGGTTTTGTTATTTTAAATCTGCATATTAAGCTCATAATTCGAAATGCTTATGGTTTTCTCAAGTTCCTTCTAATGGCTGTATTGTTTTATTTACTCTGCTTAATGTAACTTCTAAATAAATTATGAGTTATCATAAGCTTTCTCTAAAATATGATGATTTTGAATCATAGAAAAATGATTGATGTGCTGTAAATTATCATTCTTAGGAGTAGGGATCTTTGGAGCCGTGCAGGGATCTTTGGAGCTGTGTTTGAATCCTAACTGAATGACATTAAACATTAATTGGATGACACTGGGCAAGTTACTTAACTTCTCTGGTGCCTCAGCTTTCTCATTTGTACAACAGTGATAATAATAGTACCTACATTATAGGATTCTCATGAAGGTAAAAGTTTGGTTTAACTTTATTTCTGCATATGAGTTGTATGCAAAATGTCATCATAGAATTACAGAATTAGACATGGCAAAACCTATTTGCTCTTTATTGAAAGATGACTGTTCTTAAGTACTACTTAAGTTAGCATAAGTAAAATGCCTAAGTTGTAAGTATACAAGGGAATCCTTTTAGAATTCAAAGGAGAAAATACAGCTGCCATTCACTAGGTCTGGAAGCAGGATTTGGAAAGCAGCAGAAATCAAGGCAGCTTCTCTCCCTCTTTTTCCCTCTTTATTGTGGGCTGTAAGGACTCTCTGCTAAGCATCTTTTTGTGTAAGTCTGCTTTATGATTCTCTGTTTTTCCAGATACCCTTCCTCTGTTCCATTTGCTCATGAGCCTGACTTAGCTACCTCACCTTGGCACTGTATCCCTTAAGTGAACTGCCCATCAGAGATAAACTAGAATTCTTGTATCCTTATAACTGATTTTGGGACAAATCATAATTTGTCCAGCTCAGACAAGTTACCCACAATCATCTAGTAAACTAGGCCAAGGGGAGGAGGGATAACACAGCCCCCTGTCCATTCAGAAGGGGGTTTGGGGCCCACTATTCCTAGAACAGGCATTGACTAACAGGGAAATTGACTAGCAAGTTCTGTTTAGCTCTGTTTTGAAGATGGACTTAAAAATTTAACAGAAGGAATGTAAAAACAAAGTAGAGAATATCTGTTAATTAATTTCCTAATCAATTTATTTTTAAAGTGACTTACATACATTTTCACTGTTCACCTTTCCATGTGTCCCCTTAGCCTCATGTCTGGCACATGACATGGAGGATGGTGGCTGTCCTGTCTACTCCTTACATCATAGGAACAGGGGATGAGTAAAATGGAGGCCCAGATGTCTAAATATTTAAAGTTACAAATCAAACTAACAGATTGTTGAATAAAATATGTTTTATCCTATTTCTTTTACAAATTGACCTTCATAATTATTAGAAAGGCCAGATTTAAAGTTAGGGATCTCAGACTCCATGAGGTTCTATGCTCAAATGAGGTGGCTTACCCATTTTTCTTTCTACTGCTGGCTCTGTGAGGGACTTACGTCCACATATATGCTCAACTTGGTCCACCTGTCCAAACTCTTTGCAGGCCTTAGAAACTGGCTCTAAAAAGTGCAGAGCTCAGGTCCGTGTTCCCTCTTACCTGAGCCTAAAGACAGTTCAGGTGGTGAAAGGAAGTATGTATATCCATTAGATTATGATTCCAGGTGTCAATGAGATTTATCATTGAATGAAAATAAGGAGAGTATTTAATTTTCATAAAGTGGGAGGTTTATGTCATTAACTAAGAAAGGCCAGAGAACATTGATTATTAAATATGGAGGTTTTACTTTTGCATTTAATAAATGGAAAATATAGAAAAAATATTAATCATCTCTTTTTTAAAGAAGTCCAAAGCACAAGAAATGCAACAATTATACTTCTTGATATCAATTGTTAAGAAAAAGTTAATAAATTAGACAATGTAAAAAGTGGATTAGTATTTCATGGAAAACAGAAAAAAGCGGGGTTACAACCTTAGTTTCAGACAAAACAGACTTCACATCAACAAAGACAAAAAAAGACAAAGGGCATTACATAATGGTAAAGGGTTCAATTCAGCAAGAAGAGGTAACTTTCTTCAATATATACGTGTCCAATACAAAAACACCCAGATTCATAAAGCAAGTTCTTTGAGACCTTTGAAGAGACTTAGACTCTAACACAATAATAGTGCGAGACTTTAACTCCCCACTGACAATATTAGGCAGATCATCGAGATAGAAAACTAAAAAAGATTTGCAGGAGCCAAACCCAACTTTGGATCAAGAGGACCTGCTAGATATCTACAGAACTCTCCACCCAAAAACAACAGAATGTACATTCCTCTCATCACCACATGGCACTTACTCTAAAATTGATCACCTAATTGGAAGTAAAACACTCCTCAGGAAATGCATAAAAACTGAAATAATAATAAACAGGCTTTCAGACCACAGTGCAATCAAATTAGAACTCTAGATTAAGAAATTCGCTCAAAACCACACAACTACATGGAAATTGGACAACCTGCTCCTGAATAAATCTTGGGTAAATAAGGCAGAAATCAAGAAGTTCTCTGAAAATTATGAGAACAAAGAGACAATGTACCTCAATCTCTGGGACGTGGCGAAAGCAGTGTTACGAGGGCAATTTATAGCACTGAATGCCCGTATCAAAAAGCTAGAAAAATCTCAAGTTTACAACCTAATATCTCAACTAAAAGAGCTAGAGAACCAAGAGCAAACAAACCCCAAAGCCAGCAGAAGACAAGAAATAACCAAGATCAGGGCTGAATTGAAGGAGGTAGAGACATGTAAAACCCTTAAAAAAATTAATGAATCCGGGAGAGGTGTGGTAAGATGGCCGAATAGGAACAACTCCAGTTTGCAGCTCCCAGCATGATTAACGCAGAAGACAGGTGATTTCTGCATTTCCAACTGAGGTACCTGGTTCCTGTCACTGGGACTGGTTGGACAGTGGGTGCAGCCCACGGAAGGCGAGCTGAAGCAGGGTGGGGCATTGCCTCACCTGGGAAGCACAAGGGGTCGGGGGATTTCCCTTTCCTAGCCAAGGGAAGCCGTGACAGACTACCTGGAACAAGGGGACACTTCTGCCCAAATACTGCACTTTTCCTAAGGTCTTAGCAACCGGCAGACAAGGAGATTCTCTCCCTTGCTGGGCTCGGTGGGTCCCATGCCCATGGAGCCTTGCTCTCTGCTAGCACAGCAGTCTGAGATTGAACCGCTAGGCGGCAGCCTGGCTGGGGGAAGGGCATCCACCATTGCTGAGGCTTAAGTAGGTAAACAAGCAGCTGGGGAAGCTCAAACTGGGCGGAGCCCACCACAGCTCAACAAGGCCTGCTGCCTCAGGACTCCACATCTGTGAGCAGGGCATAGCTAAACAAAAGGCAGCAGACAACTTCTTCAGCTGACAGCTCTGAAGAGAGCAGTGGTTCTCCCAGCATGACATTTGTGCTCTGAGAATGGACAGACTGCCTCCTTAAGTGGGTCCCTGACCCCCGTGTAGCCTAACTGGGAGACACCTCCCAGTAGGGGCCAATAGACACCTCAAACAGGTGGGTGCCCCTCTGGAACGAAGCTTCCAGAGGAAGGATCAGGCAACAATATTTGCTGTTCTGCAATATTTCCTGTTTTGCAGCCTCCGCTGTTGATACCCAAGCAAACAGGGCCTGGAGTGGACCTCCAGGAAACTCCAGTATACCTGCAGCTAAGGGACCTGACTGTTAGAAGGAAAACTAACAAACAGAAAGGAATAGAATCAACATCAACAAAAAGGACATCCACACCAAAACCCCATCTGTAGGTCACCAATGTCAAAGACCAAAGGCAGATAAGAACCACAAGGAGGGGGAGAAACCAGAGCAGAAAAGCTAAAAATTCTAAAAATCAGAGTGCCTCTTCTCCTCCAAAGGATTGCAGCTCCATGCCAGCAATGGAACAAAGCCGGATGGAGAATGACTTTGATGAGTTGACAAAAGTAGGCTTCAGAAGGTCAGTAATAACAAACTTCTCCAAGGTAAAGGAGGATGTTTGAACTCATATCTAGGAAGCTAAAAACCTTGAAAAAAGCTTAGATGAATGGCTAACTAGAATAAACAGTGTAGTGAAGACTTTAAAGACCTGATGGAGCTGAAAACCATGGCATGAGAACTTCATGAAGCATGCACAAGCTTCAATACCTGATTTGATCCAAGTGGAAGAAAGGGTATCAGTGATTGAAGATTAAATTAATGAAATACCGCGAGAAGACAAGGTTAGAGAAAAAAGAGTAAAAAGAAACAAACAAAGCCTACAACAAATATGGGACTATGTGAACCAAATCTACGTTTGATTGGTGTACCTGAAAGTGATGGGGAGAATGGAACCAAGCTGGAAAACACTCTGCAGGATACTATCCAGGAGAACTTCCCCAACCTAGCAAGGCAGGCCAACATTCATATTCAGGAAATACACGGAACACCACAAAGATAATCCTTGAGAAGAGCAACTCCAAGACACATATTGTCAGATTCACCAAAGTTGAAATGAAGGAAAAAATGCTAAGGGCAGCCAGAAAGAAAGGTTGGGTTACCCACAAAGGGAAGCCCATCAGACTAACAGCAGATCTGTTGGCAGAAACCCTACAAGCCAGAAGAGAGTGGGGACCAATATTCAACATTCTTAAAGAAAAGAATTTTCAGCTCAGAATTTCATATCCAGCCAAACTAAGCTTCATACGTGAAGGAGAAATAAAAGCCTTTACAGAAAAGCAAATACTGAGAGATTTTGTCACCACCAGGCCTGCCTTACAAGAGCTCCTGAAGGAAGCACTAAACATGGAAAGGAACGACCGATACCAGCCGCTGCAAAAACATGCCAAATTGTAAAGACCATCGATGCTAGGAAGAAACTGCATCAACTAACAGACAAAATAACCAGCTAACATCATAATGACAGGATCAGATTCACACATAACAATATTAACGTTAAAAGTAAGGTTAATTTAATTGGGGCTAAATGCCCCAATTAAAAGACACAGACTGGCAAATTGGAAAAAGAGTCAAGAACAATCAGTGTGCTGTATTCAGGGGACTCATCTCATGTGCAGAGATGCAGATAGGCTCAAAATAAAGGAATGGAGGAAGATCTGCCAAGCAAATGGAAAGCAAAAAAAAAAAAGGGAGGGGTTGCAATCCTAGTCTCTGATAAAACAGACTTTAAACCAACAAAGATTAAAAGAGACAATGATGTGGAGAAATAGGAACACTTTTACACTGTTGGTGGGAGTGTAGGGGTGTAAACTAGTTCAACCATTGTGGAAGGCAGTGTGGCAATTCCTCAGGGATCTAGAACTAGAAATACCAGTTGACCCAGCCATCCCATTACTGGGTATATACCCAAAGGATTATAAATCATGGTGCTATAAAGACACATGCACACGTATGCTTATTGTGGCACTAATCACAATAGCAAAGGCTTGGAACCAACCCAAATGTCCAACAATGAGAGACTGGATTAAGAAAACGTGGCACATATACACCATGGAATACTATGCAGTCATAAAAAAATGATGAGTTCATGTCCTTTGTGGGGACATGGAGGAAGCTGGAAACCATCATTCTCAGCGAACTATTGCAAGGACAAAAAACCAAACACTGCATGTTCTCACTCATAGGTGGGAATTGAACAATGAGAACCCATGGACACACGAAGGGGAACATCACACACCAGGGCCTGTTGTTGGGTGGGGTGAGTGGGGAGGGATAGCATTAGGAGATATACCTAATGTAAATGACGAGTTAATGGATGCAGCACACCAACATGGCACATATATACATATGTAACAAACCTGCACATTATGCACATGTACTCTAGAACTTAAAGTATAATAAAAAAGATTAAAAAAAAGAGAGACAAAAAAGGCCATTACATCATGGTAAAGGGTTCAATTCAAAAAGAAGAGCTAACTATCCTAAATATATATGCATCCAATACAGGTGCACCCAGATTCATAAAGCAAGTCCTGAGAGACCTACAAAGAGACTTAGACTCCCACACAATAATAATGGGAGACTTTAACACCCCACTGTCAATATTAGACAGATCAATGTTGTTAATCAGTTAATCAGTAGATTAACAACGATATCCAGGACTTGAACTCAGCTCTACACCAAACAGACCTAATAGACATCTACAGAACTCTCCACCCCAACTCAACAGAATATACATTCTTCTCAGCACCACATTGCACTTATTCCAAAATTGACCACATAGTTGGAAGTAAAGCACTCCTCAGCAAATGTAAAAGAACAGAAATCACAACAAACTGTCTCTCAGACCACAGTGAAATCAAATTAGAACTCATGATTAAGAAACTCACTCAAAACTACACAACTACATGGAAACTGAACAGCGTGCTCCTGAATGACTACTGGGTAAATAATGAAATGATGGCAGAAATAAAGATGTTGTTTGAAACCAATGAGAACAAAGACAGAAGGTACCAGAATCTCTGGGACACATTTAAAGCAGTGTGTAGAGGGAAATTTATAGCACTAAATGCACACAAGAGAAATCAGGAAAGATGTAAAATCGCCACCCTAACATAACTAAAAGAACTAGAGAAGCAAGAGGAAACACATTCAAAAGCTAGCAGAAGGCAAGAAATAACTAAGATCAGAGCAGACCTGAAAGAGATAGAGACACAAAAAAACCCTTCAAAAAATCAATGAATTGAACAGCTGGTTTTTTGAAAAGATCAATAAAATAGATAGACCACTAGCAAGACTAATAAAGAAGAAAAGAGAGAAGAATCAAATAGACACAATAAAAAATGATAATGGGGATATCACCACCAATCCCACAGAGATACAAACTATCATCAGAGAATACTATAAACACCTTTATGCAAATAAACTAGAAAATCTAGAAAAAATGGGTAAATTTCTGGACACATATACCCTCCTAAGACTAAACCAGGAAGAAGTTGACTCGATGAATAGACCAATAACAGGTTCTGAAATTGAGGCAATAATTAATAGCCTACCAACTAAAAAAAGTCCAGGACCAGACGGATTCACAGCCGAAGTCTATCAGAGGTAAAAAGAAGAGCTGGTACCATTCCTTCTGAAAGTATTCCAATCAATAGAAAAAGAGGGAATCCTCCCTAACTCATTTTATGAGGCCAGCATCATCCTGATACTAAAGCCTGGCAGAGACAACACAAAAAAAGAGAATTTTAGACCAATATCCTTGATGAACATCGATGTGAAAATCCTCAATAAAATACTGGCAAACCAAATCCAGCAGCACCTCAAAAAGCTTATCCACCAAGATCGAGTTGGTTTCATCCCTGGGATGCAAGGCTGGTTCAACATACACAAATCAGTAAACGTAATCCATCACATAAACAGAACCAAAGACAAAAGCCACATGATTATCTCAATAGATGCAGAAAAGGCCTTCGGCAAAATTCAACAGCCCTTCATGCTAAAAACTCTCAATAAACTAGGTATCGATGGAACGTATCTCAAAATAATAAGTACTATTTATGACAAACCCACAGCCAGTATCATACTGAATGGGCAAAAACTGGAAGCATTCCCTTTGAAAACTGGCACAAGACAGGGATGCCCTCTCTCACCACTCCTATTTGACATAGTGTTGGATGTTCTGGCCAGGGCAATCAGGCAACAGAAAGAAATAAAGGGTATTCAATTAGGAAAAGAGGAAGTCAAATTGTCTCTGTTTGCAGATGACATGATTGTATGTTTAGAAAACCCCATCATCTCAGCCCCAAATCTCCTTAAGCTGATAAGCAACTTCAGCAAAGTCTCAGGATACAAAATCAATGTGCAAAAATCACAAGCATTCTTACACACCAATAACAGACAGAGAGCCAAATCATGAGTGAACTCCCATTCACAATTGCTACAAAGAGGATAAAATACCTAGGAATCCAGATTACAAGGGATGTGAAGGACCTCTTCAAGGAGAACTACAAACCACTGCTCAATGAAATGAAAGAGGATACAAACAAATGGAAGAACCTTCCATGCTCATGGGTAGGAAGAATCAATATGTTGATAATGGCCATATTGCCCAAGGTAATTTATAGATTCAGTGCCATCCCCATCAAGCTACCAATGACTTTCTTCACAGAATTGGAAAAAACTACTTTAAAGAGAGGCCACATAGCTAAGACAATCCTAAGCCAAAAGAACAAAGCTGGAGGCATCATGCTACCTGACTTCAAACTATACTACAAGGCTACAGTAACCAAAACAGCATGGTACTGGTACCAAAACAGAGATATAGACCAATGGAACAGAACAGAGCCCTCAGAAATAATGCCACATATCTACAACCATCTGATCTTTGACAAACCTGACAAAAACAAGCAATGGGGAAAGGATTCCCTATTTAATAAATGGTGCTGGGAAAACTGGCTAGCCATACGTAGAAAGCTGAACCAGGATCCCTTCGTTACACCTTATACAAAAATTAATTCAAGATGGATTAAAGACTTAAATGTTAGACCTAAAACCATAAAAACTCTAGAAGAAAACCTAGGCAATACCATTCAGGAGGTAGGCATGGACAAGGACTTCATGACTAGAACACCTAAAGTAATAGCAACAAAAGCCAAAATTGACAAATGGGATCTAATTAAAGTAAAGAGCTTCTGCACAGCAAATGAAACTATCATCAGAGTGAACAGGCAACCTACAGAATGGAAGAAAATTTTTACAATCTACCTGTCTGACAAAGGGCTAATATCCAAAATCTACAAAGAACTTAAACAAATTTACAAGAAAAAAATCAAACAACCCCATCAAAAAGTGGGCAAAGGATACGAACAGACACTTTTCAAAAGAAGACATTTATGCAGCCAACAGACACATGAGAAAATGCTCATCATCGCTGGTCATCAGAGAAATGCAGATCAAAACCACAATGAGATACCATCTCACACCAATTAGAATGGCGATCCTTAAAAAGTTAGGAAACAACATGTGCTGGAGAGGATGTGGAGAAATAGGAATGCTTTTACACTGTTGGTGGGAGTGTAAACTAGTTCAACCATTGTGAAGACAGTGTGGAGATTCCTCAAGGACCTAGAACTAGAAATACCATTTGACCCAGCCATCCATTACTGGGTATATACCCAAAGGTTTATAAATCATATTAGTATAAAGACACATGCACACATATGTTTATTGTGGCACTATTCACAATAGCAAAGACTTGGAACCAACCCAAATGTCCATCAATGATAGACTGGATTAAGAAAATGTGGCACATATACACCATGGAATACTATGCAGCCATAACAAAGGATGAGTTCATGTCCTTTGCAGGGACATAGATGAAGCGGGAAACCATCATTCTCAGAAAACTATCACAAGGACAGAAGACCGAACACCACGTGTTCTCACTCATAAGTGGGAGTTGAACAATAAGAACATATGGACACAGGGCGGGGAACATCACACACCGGGGCTGGCTGGGGGAGGGATAGTATTAGCAGAAATATCTAATGTAAATGTCGAGTTGATGAATGCAGCAAACCAACACAGCACACGTATAAATATGTAACAAAACTGCACGTTTTGCACATGTACCCTAGAACTTAAAGTATAATAATAAAAAAGTAAAAAAAAAATTTGCAAATTAATAGATGTGATTCATCACATAAACAGAACTAAATACAAAAACCACATGGTTATCTCAATAGATACATAAAAGGACTTCGATAAAATTTGGCATCCCTTTGTGCTAAGAAGTCTTGATAAACTAGATATTGAAGGAACACACCTAAAAATGATAAGAGCCAGATATGACAAACCCACAGCCAATATCATACAATGGGCAAAATCTGGAAGCATTCCCCGTGAAAACCACCACAAGACAAGGATGCCCTCTCTCACCACTCCTATTAACCACAGTATTGAAAGTTCTGGCCAGGGCAATCAGAGAAGAGAAAGAAATAAATTGTATTCAGACAGGAAGAGTTGAAGTCAAATTATCATTGTTTGCAGATGACATGATCCTATGTCTAGAAAACCCCATTGTCACAGCCTGAAACTTCTTAACATGAGAAGCAACTTTCACAAAATTTTAGGATACAAAATGAATGTGTGAAAGTCACTAGCATTCCTATACACCAACAACAGTCAAGCCAAGAGACAAATCAGGAATGAAATCCCATTCACAATTGTCACAAAAAGAATAGAATACCTAGAAACACAGGTGACAAGGGAAGTGAAGGACCTTTTCAAGGAGAACTGCAAACCACTGCTCAAATAAATCAGAGAGGGCACAAAGAAATAGAAAAATATTCCATGCTCATAGATAGGAAGAATCAATATTGTGAAAATAGCCATACTGCCCAAAGCAGTTTATAGATATATTCCCATTAAACTACCATTGACATTCTTCACAGAATTTGGAAAAACTATTTTAAAATTCATATGGAACCTGAAAAGAGCCTGAATAGCCAAGACAATCCTAAACGTGAAGAAAGCTGAAGGCATCACACTACTCGACTTCAAACTACACTACAAGGCTACAGTAACCAAAATAGCATGGTACTGGTGCAAGAACAGACACATAGACCAATGGAACAGAATAGAACTGGAAATAAGACCACACACCTACAACCATCTGATCTCTGATAAACCTGAAAAAAACAAGCAATGGGGGAAGGATTGCCTATTTAATAAATGGTGCTGGGAGAACTGGCTAGCCATATGCAGAAAATTGAAACTGGACCCCTTTCTTACACCATATAAAAAAATCAACTCCAGATGGATTAAAGACGTAAATGTAAAACCCAAAACTATAAAAACCCTCAAGACAACCTAGGCAATACAATTCAGGACATAGGCACAGGCAAACATTTCATGATGAAGATGCCAAAAGCAACTATGACAAAAGCAAAAATTGACAAATGGCATCTAATTAAACTAAAGAGCTTCTGCACAGGATAAAAAGCTATTGTCAGAGTAAATAGACATCTATAGAAAAGGAGAACATTTTTGCAATCTACCCATCTGACAAAGGTCTAATATCCAGCATCTACAAGGAACTTAAATTATAATAAATAAACAAACAACCCCATTAAAAAGTGGGCAAAAGACTGAAACAAATGCTTTGTAAAAGAAGAATACTTATGGCCAACAAGCATATGAAAAAAAGCTCACTATCACTGATCATTAGAGGAATGCAAACAAAAACCACAGTGAGATACAATCTCACGCCAGTCAGAATGGCTATTACTAAAAAGTCAAAAAAACAACAGATGCTGGTGAGATTGTGGAGAAAAAGAAATCCTTATACACTGTTGGTGGGAGTGTCAATTAGTTCAACCATTGTGGAAGACAGTGTGCCAATTCCTTAAAGATCTAGAGGCAGAAATACCATTTGACGCAGCAATCCCATTACTGGGTGTATACCCAAAGGAATATAAATCATTCTATTATAAAGATACATGCACACATATGTTCACTGAAGCACTATTCACAATAGGAAAAATGTGGAATCAACCTAAATGCCCATCAATGATAGATTAGATAAAGAAAATGTGGTACATGTACACCATGGAATACTATGCAGCCATAAAAGGAAATGAGATCATCTCCTTTGCAGGGACATGGATGGAGCTGGAAGCCATTATTCTCAGCAAACTAGCACAAAAAAGGAAAATCAAATACTGCATGTTCTCACTCTTAAGTGGGAGCTGAATGATGAGAACACGTGTACACATCAGGGGAACAACATACACTGGGGTCCATCAGAGGGTGGGGGGGTGGGAGGAGGGAGAGTATCAGAAAGAATAGCTAATGAATGCTGAGCTTAATACCTAGGAAATAGGATGATCTGTGCAGCTAATCACCATGGCACATGTTTACCTATGTAACAATCCTGCACATCATGCACATGTACCCCTGAACTTAAAATAAAAGTTGGAAATAAACAACAAAAAAAGTACACTTTGGAGCAGAGACCTTTTCTTTCCATCTATCTCCAGATTTAAGACTCAGCACTTTCTAAGAAATTATGTACCTTGAAAGTCTGTTTATCTCTGGAATAAATGAGTCTATATATTTCCTGGATATTGAAGACTTTAACAAATATAACAAGAAAAGAATAAGTGATTTAATATTTAGCTTTTTATTTTTAAAAGTATTCTTCAGAAAATTGCTAGAGGAAAAAAATCTGGCCTAATTAAATAACAATTTCTATATACTCTGTACTTAACTTTTCAGAGCTGCAACAGAACTGTCTTTTTCAATGTCACATAAACACTCTCTCCACAGTCACTAAGAAATTAAGAAAACCTCATTTATTTTTCCAGGGCCCATTAACAAGTCCATATTTTATTTGTCTTTCTTCTCCATTTTCAGCTGCACTTTGCTAATAAGAAAAAGCTAACATTTTTTCTAGCAATCAAAATCTATTCACAATACTGATTTCCAATTATTTAAAGAATGAATTGCATTTTGCAATTTTGGCTGGTTTAAAAAGTGGATTCAGTAAATATCTTGCCTGGAAAAAGAGATAATAGGTTCATCATGGCTATTGTCCCTTAAGTCAGAGTTACACAACTGTAGTTTGTTTAATCCTTTTCTTTTTCTTGCCCTTGGTAAAGACATTTCATTAACATTTTAACTTATATGGAAATAAATTATTTTAGTTTGGAGCTTTAATAACCTACCTAGCGTGTATTTTCTGTGAGCCTGCATTTTTTTTAATAAAAAAGATTCTAACAGGTTTTAACATTGGTTTTAATTTTGTATTCTTAACAGTGTCTACTGACCCACTGAAATTTTCAATACTGAGTTTGAGCCATGTTTATATTTTAAAGAAAGACCAAACCATTAACTGCATGGACTCAGGTTATAATAGAAGCAGATTCGTGTACCAGGTTTTACTCTGATATAGTGAAATAATATCATTCAAATGCAATCTTGATCATGAGTATCCCTCAAATCACCCTTTTTTAAGGGAATTTGCCAGAAACACTGCCATTTCCTTTCTGTTGTGTAGGAAGGGTACATGCCTCTGTCATGCACAGGTTTACTGGGTGTCAGTCCTGAATTTGGTAATTAAAAAAATTGATAATTAAAAATAATAAGCAAATGGTCTTTTAGAATTCTCTTTGGACACTTTCTTTAAAATTAGCTTTAAATATAAAATATCTGAATTTACTAAATAGCCAAATTAAACATCAATGACATTACAATGTACAACCAAAAGGTATTTAGCTTTGCCCCTAGATGAAGAGAGCCACCTCAGCATTTGTCCCAGTGTCTTCATTGCCTGTTCTCCTCTTCCATCTTCCCACATCTTTTTTATATGAACTGGTTCAGTGTTTACTAAATGCTAGTTATGTAACTGGGGTTTGCTTTTCTGGATACAAATGTATTTAAGTGTTCATTTTCCCTTTCTCCTGCAGTCACTCTAGTTGTTAACATTCTCTTTTCTGCTCCACTTTTTCTCTTCTTTATTCTTTATGTTAAATGACTCACTCTCGCTCCCGAGCCCCATCATGCTGTGGCCTCTCCTGCTCCTTTTATCTGCGCTCACCCTTTCAGAACCACTTTCACAAGCTCACCCTCATGCCTGTTGAGTTGCACAAATTTGCTTTGAGCTCTCTGGGCTTTCCCTCTGTGCTGTTCATCTGGGCCCAGAGGTCGTATGTTTTGGGACCAGCTACCCTGTAAGGAGAGAGCTTGTGTCACTTGTTCCCTAAAGGTGATGTTCTTATTTATGTTATCCACCACTTAACACTTCATGTTCCCTCTGCAGTTTAGGTGGGAATGCCTACAGCCAGCAGACAGCCAGGTCATTGTGGACACTGGTACAGTCATTACATTATCCCATGGTCATTGATCCATATTTTCCTCTTTTGTCCTCTCTGAATGATATTATAGAAAGAACTATTTTCTCCCTTTAAGAAACTAAAATATTTGTAGAGAAGAATCTAGCTGTCAAGCAACTCCCTTG